>NC_000003.12:90010000-90190034 GCF_000001405.40 Homo sapiens
CCCTTTTCAGTTTTATTTTCAGTGAAATGAAGAAAGGCAGAACCATTGTGACTAGCAAATCACACACATATAAAGTAGTTAAAAGAGTATGTAGCATAGAAGAAGCATGCAATAAATGTCAGCTACCGTTTACTTTTGAACAAATATTTATTGAGTGATTACTACATACTTGATATTTTTCTAGTTACCTGAGTGACAGTACTGAACAAAAGAGACTAAAATATCTTCCTTCATGAAGATTACATTCCAATAAGAAGATAGACAATAAACAATGTATAAAATATATATTCTGTTTATTAAAAGTACTGCATAGAGGGGGATGCAACTTTAGACAGGACAGTGGGAGAAGTATCACAGGTGGCATATGTGAGAAAGGACTAAAGGAAATGAGAAAGTAAGCCATGAAATTTTTAGGAAGATGAAAGTTTTCCAGGCATAGGAAACTGCAAGCGTAAACGTTCTGTTCCTCTAGAGGAACAACAGAGATCAGTATGTCTGGAATGCAGTGAGCCAAGTGGCATGTAATATAAGCAATAAGAGGGGTGAGGTGGGTGGAAGAACAGTGGAACTTATCATGTAGGGCGTTGTGGCTAATAGTAATTCAATGACTTAAACTCTGAGTAATATGGGAAGTTATTGGAGAGTTCTGAGCAGAAGAATGGCATGATCAGACTTTTGCCAAAAGTCCTGTAGCTAACAATAGACAAAAGTGTCCTCTAATCATCATAATCAAGTAAACTATCTATTCCAGTTAGAGAAATACTGCTGTCAATTCTCTTATAATTAAGGGCTAATTATAAAGAGCTCTGTAATGCAGTGACCATACATACTTTAGAAGAGAATTTCCCTACCATTCACACATAACTAGAACTTTGGACTCCAAATTCTATTTTGATGTACCTATCATCATTTAGAAATATAATTTACAAAATGCTGATTACAAAATATACATACTCTGTTTTATTCAAAATTAAAACTGTGAAAGGATTTAGAGAAAATATTCCCTTGGCCTTATGTAGAATAGTCAGACAATTTTGTGGCTTTTTTATTGGTAACATCCACAGCTAAGTGATAACTAAATGTTCCTATTCTTCTAGTTGACGGGCAGTAAATATTCAAGACAATGATGAGGGCATCATCCAGTGTGATATTCCGGATGGAAGTCCACACCACGTAAGTTAGTGTCCCTCTTGTCTCTCACATGAGCTGAATTTTCAGGAAAGCAGAGAAGTCAGGCAATCAGCCAACGGTCTGTGTTGCTTTCATTACAGACCTGCAAAGCATTTAAATCTTCAGAAGAGAAAGTTTCTGCCTTCTTAAAACCAGCTGTACACCAGCCACTCTCAATGGTCCATGAGGCACCCAGCTCAGAGAATTCCACTTCCCCCTAAAGATCGGTCAGAACTGCTGGGAAAAGCAAGCACTTCAAAGTAACACAGAGGTCTGGTGAATGTTCGGCTCACTTCAGAAAGCATTTCCCTGCTCAGAGATAAGGGGGGAAGCTGCAATATTCTGAAAGTTTGCAGAATCATGGCATTGCTCCCACCTGCTTTTCTGTTTCACCCTGAAACTTAAGTCAATCAGGAGGCCTGCTTCGTGCACAGTTGAACACAAATAATAACTGTCTGGGAAAATACAGCAAAACAATAGACATCTTTACAATTACGATTTGGGTGCTGGAGCATACATGTGAAACAAATGTGCTACCAAAGACTGTGACTTCCAGAATCTTGAAAGTGTTGTATAGTATTTCCGACTGCCAATTGTGTAACTGGCAAGTTGGACTTCAAACTGTTTTCTCAATACAGTTGACCCTTGAACAGTGCAGGGGCTAGGGGAACCAGCCTCTGGTGCAGTCAAAACTCCACATTAATTTTGACTCCCCAAAATCTTAACTGCTAATAGCCTACTGTTGACGAGAAGCCTTATGATAACACAAGTGGTTGGTAAACATATATTTTGTTTGTTATATGTAATATATACTGTATTCTTACAATATTGTAAGCCGAAAAAAAGTTAAGAAAATCACAAGGAAGAGAAATATACTTATTATTCATTAAGTGGGAGTGGATCATCATAAAGGTCTTCATCCTCATTGTCTTCCCACTGAGCAGGTTAAGGAGTAGGAGGAAGAGAAGGGGATGGTCTTGCTGTCTCAGCAATGGCAGAGGTGGAAGAAAATCTGCATAAAAGTGAACCCACACAGTTCAAACCCATGTTGTGTAAGAGAATACATTTCTCTTTCCTTTTTACCTTATCTGTAAATGATTAATTCCCTTTTCTAGAATGACAATAGCTAAAATTCCAATTCAACATCTACACAGCTACCTCTAAGGTCTCATCGATGGTGCAAGAGATTAACTGGACCTGGTAAAGATTCTCTCTGGCACCAAGGGACTGGCTCTGCAGGAATCCAGCTGGCCTCTTTTGTTCCACAGAGTAAACATAGCTTATTTCATTTAATCTCAATCACATACTATGGCAACTATGTGCATAGGTCCCATCTTTGAAGACATCCAAAAGGAAGATATTCTTATGCTACTTGTAGTTTATTGTTTTCTTTCCCTTTTTTTTTTTTTTTTTTTTTTTGGAGACCGAATCTTGCTCTGTTGCCCAGGCTGGGGTGCACTGGCACGATCTTGGATCACTGCAACCTCTGCCTCCCAGTTTCAAGCGATTCTCCTACCTCAGCCTCCTGAGTAGCTGGGATTACAGGTGCAAGCCACTACACTCGGCTAATTTTTTGTATTTTTAGTAGAGATGGGGTTTCACCATGTTGGCCAGGCTGGTCTCGAACTCCTGACCTCAGGTGATCCACCCACCTTGGCCTCTCAGAATGCTGGGATTACAGGCGTGAGCCACTGCACCCGACCTCTGGTTGTTTTCTTAGAATATGATTGCCTACTCAAAATAATTAATTAAGACTATAGAACTGCTTTTAAAAGTTAGCGATGTGATAATTAAACATAAATCATCATCATTCACATAAGAATTTAAAATAGTCCCAAATGAAGAGACAGCTAGCATTAAAAACAATTTCTACTTTTATGAGTTAAATCAATGTCATAAGCAAAATAGTTTTCTTTTAAAAAATTATCTGTTCTCTATCTTTAGAATCTTTCTGCCAAATCCCCTTCCCACACTTGTCAAGTCAAGTATATCTTACACAGCCCACATTCTCCCACATCTAAATTATTTGGGTTTGATTGCCAGCCACATGAAATGTTAATCAAAGTAAATAGTTATCACTTATTTTTAGATAGGGTGACACCTGGCATTTTTCTTTCCTCACTATCTTCTCAAAACCTCTCTTATTCTGATAATCAAACGTAACCCCTTTCTTATCTTCTCCAACAATGATCAATGGCTTCCCTCATTTTTGTTAATTTGGACTACTCAAAAACAAAAGTATCTACCATTTTAATATGATTATTGTAATTGAGGTGCAACTTGGTGTGATTTAATATAACAATACATTGATACGTAGCATTAGGAAAAATATAGTGCAGCTTTAAAATATATATACAGACAATTCAAGAGCAAAAATGTGTAATGCCCATTCTTGAGGTTGACTTTATCTATGGATCCATCTGTATCTTCATTCTGTCCATAAAAGTCTCCTAGTTACCACTTCCCACAGTTCTACTCTAACACTCAATCCATAGGAAGCACCTGTCCAGCCGACGACCTCATTGCTCATCCTCTCCTAAATGGTCAAAATGACAACTTCCATTAGGCAGAATTCTTCACTTTGGTGTTGAATGGGTGTAATCGTAGGCAGATTCATCACCAATCTGCCATTTTAGAAAATGGGATTGCCCAGTTTCATCTTGAGAAATCTTAAATCCATAATTATATTTGAAAATAACTTCAAAACCTAAAAGATTCCAGAGATTACTTGACTCAAACCATGAATTTTATGTTTGTGTATTTGCCTTTTTCTGGACATCCATGAGTGAGTTCAATTAGTCAAACTCCTTAGCTCATGACAGAGTCTATTTGTCCATGAAGGTTCCTCACATGTATAATTTTATTCTTCCCTTCATTCTTGATATTATTTCCACTGCCTTCTTTTTTCAATGAGTACCCATGATAGCATGTCATGGAATATCTACATGTCTTTGAAAAAGTAGGCTGGGCACAGTGGCTCACACTTATAATCCCAGCACTTTAGGAGGTGAAACAGGAGGATTGCTGGAGGCCAGAGTTCATGACCAGCTGGACAACATAGTGACACCCAATCTCTATTTATAAAAATAAAAAGGAAAGAAAAAGTAGTAGAATACTATGAGTTTTACATGTACATAAAATATCAATTTGAGGTACTAACAGTTTTATTGTATGTCTTTTTATTTCATTCAACCCTATGTTTGTTAGGTATAGGAGGACTGTTGTTCTAAATACATCTCATTCATTTTTTTCTTGCAATTAAATAGCACAATTAGGTGGTCTTCATTTGTCTGCTGTAATAAACGTGTGTAATTATTACTCAACTAAGACAATTTGAAGGAGAATATTTACAAATGAACAATTTTTAAAAGATGTGGATAGGGCTTAGGGAAACCACAAAGGTTATTTTGTTACCCAGGGTTAGAAGCAGCAGAGCTCCTTGGACCTCTAGGTTCAAAAAAATAAATGCGGATCATGGTTGCTAAAACCTAAAAAAAAAGAGCCGTGCCAAAGTCTACACCTGGAGAGCAGTGGCCTCGGTGGAGGAGCATAACCAGCTTAAGCTGCTCCTCAGGTCTCTAGGGCTCTACTCATTTTTCTTCATTCTTGTTTCTTTCTATTCTTCAGACTAGATAATTTCAATTGGCCTATCTTGAAGTTTGCCAATTCTTTCTTCTACTAGCTCAAATCTACTGTCGAGCCCTCTTGTGAAATTTTCATTTCAGTTATAGTATATTTCAACTCCAGAATTTTTGTACATGTTTTTAAAAAATAATTTCTATCTCTTTATTGAAACTCTTTTTTTAACATATAAAATTTTAATTTGCTAATTATTTTACAATAAAAATATAATAATCCCACTTTTTTAAATTATACTTTCAGTTCTGGGGTACATGTGTAGAATGTGCAGGTTTGTTACATAGGTATACACTTGCCATGGTGGTTCTTTATTGGGTGAAATATTCTCATACATTCCTCCAGTTCTTTACCTATAGTTCCCTTTAGTTTTTTGAACATATTCAAAATAGCTGCTATCAATATTTTTCTGGTAACTCCAGTGTTTAACTCCAAGGCTTTCCCAGGGACAGTTTCTACTGTGTTTTCTCCCTGCCCTGTACAAGGGCCATAATTTCTTGTTTCTTGCATTTCTTGCGATGCTTTGTTGAAATCTAGACCTTTAAATAATATAACGTATTCACCCTCCAGGGTGGTAGAGTTGCTGTTTGTTGCTGCTGCTGATTGCTGTTTGTTTCTTTAGAGACTTTCTAGAACTACTTTTGTAAAATTGTTATTTTTGTTGTATGAACTTTTTGTCGTATGTAGCCACTGAAGTTTAAATGCCTCAAAGCAATAAACCTCCCAGATTTCACCAAGGAGCTAGTTTGTGTGTTGTGGTATACCTTAAGTGAACTGCTTGGCAGTTTAAAATTCTCCTTTAGCCTTTACTTCCTGCTTGCACAGAACTTCAAGGTTAGTCAAAGAAGAGAAATCAGAGATTTCTTAGGTCTTTCTTGGGCATACATACAGCTCTGCTCATGTGTGCAGCCTTCTAAATTTCTCAGATTATTTTAGAAAGTTTTCAAAGCCCCTCTATGGCTTTTTTAGTTCCCAGTGTTTTCTTTCTTTCTTTCTTTCTTTTTAATTCCTTTCCAACTTTTATTTTAGGCTCAGCCTCTTGCTTCCTTTTCAGCTGTTTGGTCAGCTTGTTGTTGGTTCCAACTGTTATCACCACCTCAGGCAGCTTCAACGTTAAAAAAAAAAAAAAGCCATGTAAATATGTACAAATGTTATGTACCAATAGAAAAACACAAAATTTCCAATGATTGTTTTCACAAATGCCTCAGGGAGAAAGCCATTCACAGTGAGTCAGTTCTGATCAGGTTAAATAAAAACAAGCCATGCAAGTGGGGATTTGCAGAAAACAGCCAGATAGATCCCGTAATGACAATTCCCTGGGGATGGGCTTTTTAGGGAAGCTTTACATTCTTCTGCTGTCTCCAGTGACTGCTTGGCAACTGGTTTTCATGATGACTAACATCATGAAACTGTTGGTTTTCAAGGCCACTGCAGAGCTGGGGAGAAGCGGGTGGGAGTACACAGCAAGTGAAATGTCACGTTTATTGCTCCTTCTGCAATTCAGTCACTCTTCAGTAAATATTCCTCACATTATTCCAAGCCTTTACTTTATTTCCAAAGTTCTGAAGAAGTTGAGTGATCATTTTTTTAACCAGTGTTATTTTTATGCACAAGAGGCTTTCAGATTTCCTTATTTTGCTGTTTCTAGGGGTGTCATCACTTACTAATTTTTGACTTTGAAATAGTTTTTAAAATTTCCACTTGTGTTATTTTTCTAAGGTATATTTTTTGAATAAAATAATAATATTGATTGTGCTGAACGTTCTATTTATGACCCTGCAGATCAACTGTCACTTTTCCACACCTGCTTTGTGACTCATGAAGCTGGCCTTCACGGACTGCCCCAACCAGCCTCTCCAGCTCTCTGGTTTCCAGGTATCCTCTGGAATACCTGGAAATATACAATAGGAAACACCATCATGAGATAGGAAAACAGGAGAAGAGAGAGATGAAGAAAACAGGAAGGAAACAGGTATTCTCCCAAATTCTTCCCTTCCAAATCATGACTTGGCAGTAGCTGCATCCTTTTGCAAGGCCACAGCTGCAGTTTTAATTTGCTTCTGAGAACCATTCAGGCCTATGGGTGATGAAGGCTAGTCACTGTTGTTAGCCCCGAGTACTTTATTAACTTTTGTCACTTGACTCCGTAGGGGTGGGAAATCTCCACCTCCACCTTTTTAGGGTCCTGTCCAGCTCCAAGAATTAAATAGGCATAACACAGATTAACAGGAGAAAAGCATAGTATAAGTTTTACATAGCATAGGAGTCCTCATAAATAAATGAAGACCCAAATAACCATTTAGAGTTTTATATACATATATATACACACACACATATACATATACACATATGTGTGTGTGTATATATGTGTGTGTGTATATATATATATATATATATATCGTGAATTGGACAAAGAATAGTAAAGTTTGAAAATGTGGCTAAATTATGTGGGGAGGCTTAAAAGATGACAGTTATTCTAACAAGGTCTGTACACTATTTTCTTGGTTTTGACTTCTTGTCCTTCAAGATAAGGATATTGCCTTGCCTTCTAGTACAGGGGATAGTGTCTTTCATATGGCAAGTTCATATTCTGCTTTTTAGAAACAGCACAATGGTCAAAGTGATCTTCTTGCACCTCCTGTTTTTCCAGTGTTTTTACATTGGCTATTTTAAATAGCCAGTGTGCCAGAATAGCATATTTTAACCCCTTCAACTCTGTTCAGACTTTGTAAATAGTTCCTCCATAAACTGTCTATTCAATAATATTTAGATGTAGTTAAGTATATTTTGTTTTGCTTAGAATTTTGTTTTAGAAGTCTTAGTTAAAACTCATTTCCCAGCCTAAGTTCAAAGATTTATTTTCCAAAAATATCTGCTATAAGCTTTATTTTATTTTTCATTTTATGTAGATGTCTTAATCCTTTCAGCATTTTCCACTATATATATATAGAAATAGGTACCTCTGTCAGTTTCCTAATGTTGCTATAACAAATTACCACAAACCTAGTGACTTAAGACAATCCAGATTTATTCTCTTATAGATTTGAAAGAGAGAAATCTGTTACTAGGCCAAAAGCAAGGTGTTATCAGGGCCATACTCCCTGTGGAGGCTCTAGAGGATAATCCATTTCCTTGCCTTTTCTAGCTTCTAGGGAGGCAGTCCTTACATTCCATGGTTCATGTCTCCTTTCTCCATCTTCAAAGCGAAAAGCATCACATCTTCCAATCTCTCTGCTTCCATGTTCTCATCATTTTTTTTTCTTACAAGAACCATGTGATTATATCATACGCATCCAGGATAATCTTCCCATCTCAAGATATTAACTTAATCACATATGCAAAGTCCCCTTCTGCAATGTAAGATAAAAATTACAAGGTCTATGGAGTGGGATGTGAAAAACTTTGGTGATTATTCAGCCCACCATAGTATCTAGCCTTATTTTTCTCCATATGTGAACCAATTTTCTTAATGTCATCAGTAAATCATCTTCCCCATTGGTCTGTAGTGCTCATTTCATAAAATCATTGTCTGATAATGCATGACTTTATTTTTTAGCATTCTAGCCCAGTGGTTCTGCACCAGGGTCAATTTTGTCCCCCAGAGGAAATTTGGAAATAACTGGAGAACTTCTGGCTTGTCAAAATTGGGAGATGGGGGGCTGAGATACTATCAAAGATCTGGTAGGTAGAGACCCAATGTTCTTACAGTGCATATAACAGCCCCCAACCCCCACAGCAACAAATTAAATGGCTCAAGCTATAGATAGTCCTGAGGTTGAGGAACCCTGCTTTAGTCTGTTCCAATGATCTGTGTGCTATGGCTGCCTCAGTGCCAAATTATTTTTGTTATTATGTATTTCTGTAGTACATTTTCATATCATTTAGGGTCTAGGCTCCTATCTTTAATTTTAAAATAGGCAATATTATATAAATTCTATAAGTTGTTGAATCTTTAAAAATAACCTTCTGGAATTTTATTTGAAATTTTACATTAATTTCTTTAGATTAATATTGGAAGAGTATAGATTTTCATAATGTTAATGATGAGAGGCAACTGCAGATGGCCCTGGAGACATCTTTCCTTCCCTCTATAAGTAGATTATCAGAAAACTGGCTCAGCCTTTTGCTGATGTCAGTATTCTTGGCAGGCAAGGCTTTCCCATGACCCCTGTATGCAGATTTTAGTCATCCATATGCATAGTTCTTAAGGTTGCTTCTTGGCTGGAAGATCTCCTGATATGTTTCCTGATATTTAGAGAAACTAGGTGTTCCCTACTCTTCGTAAGGTACATAGTGTAATATATGCATATATGTAATGAGGCTTGGGTGCAGAGCTTGTTCTTGCTCTTGCAGTGCTCTCAATTGTATGTCTGACTTACCAGCAAAAGTAAGCTCCAATCTGTTGGATCATTAGCCAATGTGCACACATACTATCTACATAACCTACCTAAGCCACGGACTAATAATTGGAGACTGCATAGCTCTGCTACTACTCTGTTGTAAGTTTTCCTCTAATAAACTCAATATTGTGTCTGCACCATATGGCTTCAGTGGTATATGTTCATGACCCCTTTACAAAGCAGTTAAGTTAACCTCTTCATAAACATGTTATATTTCTTTGCTGATTTCAAATAATCTTATACATCTTTTAAAAGAGTGTGTTTTTAATAAAGTTCTTGATCTTTTAGGAGGTAAATTACTACTTTTTATATATTTTTATTGCTATTATAAATTTTCTCTTTTTTGTTATATTTGCTAGTTAGTTTTAGCTTATCTAGAGGAATGTTTGGCTTATATAGGTTGATAATATGTACACCCTTGCTGCATTTTGGTGTTAGTAAAAAGAATATATTAGTAGGTTTTTTGAGTTTTATAAGTAGTTGGTTATATCTTCTCTAGTGACAGTTTTGTCTTTCTACTATATGTATGTATATAGTATTTTTTCACATGCTTTGTATCTTATTGCACTGGCCGTAGGCTTCTAACTCCCATACTACATTGATAGTAGTAGTGATAACAGTTATTCTTCTTTTATTTATCCCCACCCATTTAATAAGAATATATTGAAAGTTTACAATTATATTTTCTACAGATTTACCACACAAAGGATACACTGTTTTAGCTTTTGTCATCCAAAGACAAACACGACAACTGACCATTATATAACACACCAAATGGAATAAGAGGCCAAATGGTACAAACTTAAATAAGTATATTAAATACTATCAGAGAAACAAGCTTCCACCTTGAAAACATGAATCAGGAACAAAAATTCTTGAAACAGAAAATAAGCATATTAAATATCATGAGAGAAAAAAAGGAGAACCTTCAAAATGAATCAAGGACAAAATGTCTTGAAAAAACAAATAACTAGAGGCACTGCATAATAAAATATAACAAATAAGAAATAAATAATTCAAAAGGTAAATTGACTACAAGAATGGATATAGCTGAAGAATAAGCCAATACACTGCAACTGTATTGGGATTCTTCCATAAGGTACCAATATGAGATAAGGAAATGAAAAAACATAAATGGAAAATAAAGATACCTGAAGGATAAGACAATAAATGCAAACATCCTGTCTCATGGAGTCCAAATAGAACAGAAAAAAAATGAAAAGTAAATAAATGAACAAATTTACAAGGAAGAAATAGCTCAAGTAAAATCTATTTTAAAATCTATTTCGGAAAGATGTAAAGCCTCTGTTTAAAAGGATTTATAAAGTGCCAAATTACATAGATTATTTTAAATGAAAAGGAAAAAAAATTAGGCTCGTTGTGGTGCAATTTCAAGACATTTAAATTGGTCAGGGCTCTATCAAATATGCGAAACCACTATGAGTATTTCAAAATAAAGAATTTATTATAGAATTAGACATTAAACAATTACAAAAGGAGCCTGGACATTAAATGCCAAAAAAGGAATTTTAAGGCATCAGAGAAGAGTCACTAACAATCTCTATATGACTGAATGACTCAGAGGTGGAAGAAAAATCTGGACTTTAGATAAGTCCAGTTTCTGGAGAGTGACTGCTACAAAGTGGACTGGCTTGTAAGTCCTTGAAGGGTTGTTGACTCCTTGTGCTGACCTGTGAATTCATAGCAAAGTATCTGTGGTGGGCCTGAGATCACGCATTGTCATCTGGGCAGCATTTGGAAAGAACAGTTGGTTATAAAACAAAACTCAAGATGGGACTATTATTTTTAAATCCAAGTCTATTTCCAATAGTAATTTTACCAAAAGGTATATATCTCCCATTTAAAATGAAGAAATGATTAAGAAATGTGTGCAGATAGTGCAGTGACACTTGAATCATTCAGATTTCTCCAATGACAACTTAATGGATGATAAGAATTTGAATTATCAATGTGTTTGAAAATGTAGAAATATTTTCTGATTAATAATAATTTTTTCTTTCTTTTTTCTTCAAATACTGTATCTTAGATTGAGACCTCTGGAAACAGATATTGAGACAGAGTTGCATGCAGAAGATTTATTGCGGAGCACGCTTGGGGGATACACCTATAAGGAACTTGATGAAAGCAAAATGGACACAGAGAGAGGCTGACTCGTGATACAGCTGCATCCAGGACATCAGCTGATCTTATATGGAGATAGAATAAACCTTCACAGTTGTCTCAAATTGAGGCTAGATGGCTGAGGCTTTGAATCTCTGCTTCAGCCAGTTACTAGCTGAGAATCACCTCTGGTGGGAGATACAACGTTGGGTCAGTCCGTTCTTGGCGGCCCAGTGAAATTCCCATAAAAGGTACTTCTGTGAGCCATCAGCAGTTGACAATCCTAGCAGCTGGGGGATGGGGACACTGCTTCAAAAAGTGTCCCCTACAGCCCATCCTTTGTGCCATTTATGTTCACTTGTTTTTCTTAATAATTTGCCCCATTCGGGATAGCTTCTTCAAGATCTGTTGCTGCAGTTGATCTTGAAGCCATAACTGATACTCAGTCATCCCCTTTCTCTGTCATTCATTCTAGATTCTCCTTTCTACAGCTAGCACCAGACCTGGTCTGGGTCAATTTTTTGGTGAGATGACCTAAACCCTTGTCTTGGAAGAGTCTGAACCCCTGGTTACCATGCCCATCTCACGTGATGCTACTCTGAATTATAAATATTACAAGAATTATAACACTTGTAGTTTGTGGAATATGGACAGCTCCTTGCATCCTGTGGTAGTACAATGCTTAAAACTTTCACAGGTGGTGAGCTTGAATGGCATGCTGATAGAAGGGGCCCCACTGGCTGATACAGTATTTAAAATACTAGAAAGGAAACAGGGAAATTGTAAACATAAGGGCTGAGAATTGGGTGGCTGCTGCTGAACTGACTTGATTCATTGAAGAGACATAATTGGCAGGCTTTCAATGATTAATCAACAATTAAAAGTGAGAAAGCTTTTAAGATAAAATGATGCCATTATCCCTACTTCAAGTTCAACAACCGACTCCAGGCATTAAAGCATACTCCAGCCCACCATTCGAGATGACATCATTTCGGCTGGACGCAGTGGCTCACGCCTGTAATCCCAGGACTTTGGGAGGCTAAGGCAGGCAGATCATCTGAGGTCAGGAGTTTGAGACCAACCTGGCCAACATAGTGAAACCCTATCTCTAGTACAACAACAACAACAAAAAAATTAGCCAGGTGTGGTGGCAGGCACCTTCAATCCCAGCTACTCAGGAGGCTGAGGCAGGAGAATTGTTTGAACCCAGGAGGCGGAGGATACACTGAGCCGAGGTTGTGCCACTTCACTCCAGCTTGGGTGAAAAGAGCAAGACTCCAACTTAAAAAAAAAAAAAGAAAAGAAAAGAAAAGAAAGAAGAGATGGCATCGTTTCTCTGGAACTTAGTTCCTTTATAATTTAATATGTGCACAACTCTCCAGTAAACTTAGAGGAAAACTTTTTTTTCATTTTTTGTTGTAATAGCAGTATAGTGGTTTTAAAATTATGTCCATGAATTCTTTCAAACTCTCTCCTTCAAGAGGTAAAATTTAATTTTCACCTACTTGAATATGGGCTGGATTAGGGACATACTTCTGATGAATGAAATAGGGCAAAAGTGGTGGCATGTACCTACTGAGATTCAGTTATACGAAGACTGCATTTTCTATCTTGAGGAGGACGCTTGCCGGCTGTCTCCCCTGCTCAGATCACTTGCTTTGTGGGACTCAGCTTTTATGTTGTAAGAACACTGAAGCAGCCCATGGAGAGGTCCACATGGTGAGGACTCCAATAAATAACCATGTAATTGAGCCTTCTTGGAAGTGGATCCTCTACCATTGGAGCCATAAGTGACTGCAGACCCAGGGAATAGCCGGTTTTGCAAACTCGTGTGGTACTCACAGCTAGAACTGCTGAGCTAAACAACCCCTGGATTTCTGACCCTCAGAAAATGTGTGAGATAATAATTGCTTTAAGCTGCTAATGTCAGAAGTAATTTGTTTTAAAGCAAGAGGTAACTAATACAACAGGACTGAAAATCTTTCAAGGCCTCTACATTCTAAGTGCAACTCATTCAGTAGGGAACTTTACCCACCCATTTGAATGGTTCCCAAATTCATATCACTAGATGAGTTATCTCAAATAAGCTTTCACAATTTGTGTTGCTTTCCATTTGCCCAATCCACCCAGTACCACTTTCTACTTCTTTAAAATCCTATTTTTGCCCAGGCTAGGAGAAGGAGTATAAATTTCATTACTGAGATTCTCTGCCGTATAATTGGGTTCAGTCAATGGAAGACACCAGCAGAAAATCAGAGGGTAAAAAGATGGGATTGGAGTATTCATCTCCTCTCTTGCCTGATTGTCTGAGATTCTGGCAGGGTCTGCATCTCACGATGGCCATGTCTTCCCTCTGGCTTCCCCTCTTGGGTGACACCAGTTCTCATCCAGTTCATGAAGCACTGTTCATTCCCTTGCCCATTAAGGCCCAGGGATAAAAACAGCCTTGTACTGTTACTCATCTCTGGCTCCTTTGTCATTTATTGCTGGTTCCCTGAACCCTGCCAACATCTCTGGAAATAGCTCATTTATTAAATCATTTTCAGTGACATCTTCTTGTGTGCATCATCTACTTCCTGTTGTGACTCTGATAAGTAGAGTCCTTTGAAATTTTTCACCTGAAAATCGCAAAGGTCATCAGGTCAATTTATCTAAAACTGGACTCAGTCTCAACCCCTAAACCTATTTAATTCCTACTGTCTATTTGAATTACTTATATAACCATGTTGAACTGCCCATATTTGATGATGCCTCTCCTACAAGATAACATGAAAATATTATATGGTTCAAACTTAAAGCCTGAAAGTTAACTGTTTTAGTCTGAGTTGACCCCTGAAGCAGTAAAAAAGAAAGTAGTTTATTTGGGAGGTTATCCCAGGAAATACCAATAGAGAAATGGGGGAGTGAAATAAGGTAAAGAAAGCAGGGAGTAGAATGTGACTTATTAAGCAAATTACCACTGTGGGCAACCACAGCTTTATCCCATAGGACTTTTAGCCCCCTGAGGAAGTCTGAGAGATGGTATAAAACAAGAGTCAGAGCTATTCCAACTAATGGGCAAGGAAACTAGGTATTTATCTACCTGATCTCCCTCCATCATTTTTGAGGGGTCCAGTGACCAGACACATTATCTCTGGAACTTCTGATTTGCCCTTTGTACCAGCAAAGTGTTCTCCACCAGCCAGGAAAAAACAAACAAACAAAGAGCTGTCATACAAGGGTGCAGGGATTCCAACAAGTAGTCTTGGACCATGAGGAGGTGCGTGCTAAAGAGATGCACATAGGCACCAACTGCTATACTGCCTCTGACTCCTCCCTCTCACTCATTCTCCACATCTAGTCAATCACCAAGGTCTGGAAAATTTTTTTCCAAAAACATTCCTGAATCTATTCCTTCTAATCTGTTTATATTTTTTCTATTGTGTGTTCACAAATTAACACACATTTACTAACAATTTTTTAAATGCCACACATTTGTTATCTCACAATTTCAGTGGGTCAGGAGCCCAGGCACAGCTTCACTGGGTTCTCTGCTCAGGGTCTCACAAGGCTGCAATCAAAGGTTGGCCAAGCTGTGTTCCTTTCCTGAGCTCAGGGTCCACTTTCAAGTTGACATGGTTGTTGGCAAAATTTAGTTTCTTGCAGTTTTGTGTCTAAGGTTCCTGTTTTCTTGCTGTCTGTCAGCCAGAAGACTTTCCCATCTGCTAGAGGACATTTGCAGTTTTTTTTTTTTTTTCCTCAAGGGCTTCTCTCAGGACCTCTTACAATATGTCAGATTACTAGTTCAAAGCCAGTAAGTGGGAGTTTCTCACCCCAGTCTACTAATAAAGCCTTATGTAAATACATAATCAAAGGAATGATAGTTCATCACCTTTACCATGTTGTATTTATTTATTCTGTTTAGATTGTCTGTCCATGCTCAAAGGGAGAAAAAATTACATGAGTGTGACTCATTGTGGGTCCCCTTAGGGTGTGTCTGCCGTACTAATAGTGTCCTATTTTAGGTAGCCTCATCTTTCAACTAAAATGCTAAAACAACCATCTAACTGGTTTTCCTTCTTCAGATATCGTAATTTTCAAATCCATTGACCAAAAACTGCCAGAGAAGTCTAACATAAATGGAAATCTAATTTTGCAGCTATAATCCCAAAGTATTTTGAAGGTTCCCCTTCAGTGTAATGAGACTCAAAGTCCTCATCAGATAAACCAGGCCCTTCATAATCTAGACCCTGCTTGCATCTCAAGTTTTATTTCTACTCATGTAGACTTTACTTACTAACAACAAAATGCAGGCAGTTTCTTGCACACACCATGTGTTTTTCATTTTCCTGTCTTTGCATATCAGCTGCCGCCTCTACCTGGAATGCCTTTCTACCCTATTTGCTACTTAACTTGTGTGGCTCAGCAAAAGCACCAAGAAATTGACGAGGGCCCCCAAACTAACTTTAATAACCTTCATTTGTGGTATTATTATATCCTATATATATCTTTATTATTGCATTTAATACTTTGTAGAAATTTTAATATTTCTATTCAATCTATGAGATGCCTGAAGGTAGGAAGACTGTTTATCTTTGCATCCCGTTGCACCTGGCACATATAGGTCCTCAACATGTTGTTGTTAAATTAATAAATGGATAAGTAATTAATTGTCATGATAGATTAAGTCACAAACTGACTATCTGAGGCAACTGTAATAGCAAAATATGGTTGAATGATAATTAAAGTCACTAGGCATGGAAAAATATGATAAATATTAATTGCAATTTTCATTTAGATTGGTGTTGACTGAGCTTCAGTTGATTGTTTCAGAATCCTTTATCAGTGTTTATGATGCATCTCCCGTGGGAAAAGGGATCGTCAGTGAAATAAGTAAATCCAATATATGCCATCTAATAAAGAAAAGATGAGGAAAAGATTAAGATCCAAGTCTGAAATGCCAGATGGATATCTGTATCTGATTTACTGATTCTCTTAGACCAGAACTAATTTTTGTCATCATGGCATTTTGCTAGGACTGGAGACACATGAGGGCTGTAGATGTCCTATGACAAGGGCACTAAGGCTTCCCAAGTTCATGAACCATGTCTCTTCGACCTTGACACCAGTCTTAATAGAACAAGGCCACAATATATTTTTTGGTCTCTAATCCCTTGTTATTAATTGTTCAAATGCTTTGGCATAAAAAACAGGAGGGAGGCCATTCCTTTATCCCCTGCTGGTTATATCCCTCCTAAAGTTATAATCCCTGTGACAATACCCAACTGCAGATGGCATTGCTTTGATGAAGCTCTTTAACCACAATCCTTTTACATACTGTTTGTAATCTGCACAGCCTCCTTTTCTTTGAGGGCATATTTTCACACTTCAGGAGCTCTTCAAACTTATAATTCAGCTTCGCTGGTGTAAAGATTAAAAAAAAAAAAGCCTTCTCAACTGCTGTTTAAAATCATGCCACTGTTGACCCTAGTCTCCTTCTAAAGCCCTAAAATATAAATTAGGGCTGTATTCATTGTGTCCCAAAGAGATTTCTTTTCTGGGACTAGCTCTCACTGCCATGGGGCCTCCCCAGCAGTTCACAATGGACATCTGGTTTTTGTGCCTTCCCAGATGGGCTCAGTCAGCACAGATTCCAGGGTCTAGGAAAAAGGAGAGGAAAGAGACATTTGGTACCAGACTATATTTTACATTTACAATACAGGAAGAAATCTGCATCTCTTTTTCTCTCAGCTCCACCATCACCTGCATAAGTTATTTGTGCTCCTACTGAGCTGACACTGGTTAACAAACTTCACTTTTTATGATTTCCCGATGAAAAAATATTTGGGAGGTAAAAAATTATTAAGTGTGACTGATTCCTCATGTTTAAAAAATCTATCTATAAAAAGTACATGGGTGCTTTAATTATTGGGAAATAATAGTAAGTTTGAATGACATGTTGTGTCCTGAAATAGAAAAGCGAAAGAATGAAGAAGATTTATTGTGCATTCTATTAAGTAGTATTAGAAAACACTTATACAGGGTTTAAAATATGCCAGGCAATATCTTGAGTGATTTTCATCAGGATGAAAAACACGTAAAATGGCACTTCTAAGATAATGGCTATTTAAAAATCTTAGCAACTGTACATTTTACTGAAATTTTGAGAAAATTGTACCTGGATATGCTATTGTAAATAATAATACTGAAAGTGTGCTCTGTACACTTTCCCTAGTTTTCCCTAATGGGAACATTTTGAAACTATAGTATAATAGCACAACCATGTTATTGATGTTGATACAATCTGCTAATCTTAGATTTCTCCAAATACATTTTACTTATTTGTGTGTGTGGTGTTTAATCTGTGCATTATGTTACATGTGTAGATTCATATATCCGCCATCATAATCAAGAAACTGAACAGTTTCATTACTAGATAATCAAGAAACTGAACAGTTTCATTACCAGGTAATCAAGAAACTGAACAGTTTCATCACTACAGGATCCCTTCTGTTGCTCTGTTAGAACCACACATACTTACAACCCTCTATCCCTCATTTCTGGCAACCACTAACAGGTCCTCCATTTGTAAATTTTGTATGTCAAGAATGTTATATAAATGGAATTATAAAGTATATAATCTTTTAGGATTGGCTTGTCTCACTCAGCATAATTCTCTGAAGATTCATCCAAGCTGTTGCATATATCAATAATTTGTTCTTTTTATTACTGGTTATCTCATTCAATTTCTTCTAAGTTGTCTAAATTAGTGTAAAGTTATCCATAGCATTTCCTTGTTAATCTTTTAATAGCTGCAAGATTTGTAATTATATCCTATATTTTATTCCCAATATTTATTATTTATGCCTTCTTGCTTCGTATTTCTGTGAGTCTTGCTAGAGATTTTAATGTTATTGATTGTTTTAAAGATTCTGTTTTCTGTTTCATTGGTTTTCCCCACTGTTAATAATTTTAAATTTCTTTGGTTTTTGCTCTCATCTTTAAGATTTCCTTTCTTCTGCTTTCTTTGTGTTAATTTTGCTCTTCTTTTTCTAGTTTCTAGAGGTAGAAAGTTAGGTAATTGATTTGAGTGGTTTTCTCTTTTCTGATGTAGGAATTTAGGGCTATAAGCTTTCCTCTCAGCACTGCCTTGGCTGCATATTATGTATTCTGATAAATTGTGTTTTTGTTTTTATTAATTTTTATGCATGTATTTTTAAATTTTTCTTTTATCCAGGAAGTATTTAGAAATTTGTAGTTTATTTTTTATGTGTTTAGAGATTTTAAAGGCTTCTTTCTGTTATGGATTTTTGGTCACAGAACACAAACTCTACATTACTTCAATTCTTTTAAATTTGTCGAGGTTTGTTTTATGGTTCAGGTTATTTTGGCAAATGTTCCACGGGTGCTTGAAATAAATATGTATATATTCTGCAGTTTTCAGGTGGACATTTTTATATGTGTCAATTAGATCCTATTTTCTGAAAGGTGTTCAGATTTGCTTTGTCTTTGCTAAATTTTCTGTCTAATATTCCTATCAGTATCTGAGAGGGAGACCTTGAAGTCCTGAACTATAATTGTACAATTTTTATTTTTATTAGTATTATTATAGTATAGTGACAGAGTAATTTTTTTTTTTTTTTTTTTTTAGACGGAGTTTCACTGTCGTTGCCTTGGATGGAGTGCAATGGCTCCATCTCGGCTCCCCGCAACCTCCTCCTCCTGGGTTCAAGTGATTCTCCTACCTCAGCCTCCCGAGTAGCTGGGATTACAGGCATGCGCCACCATGCCCGGCTAATTTTGTATTTTTAGTAGAGACAGGGTTTCTCCATGTCAGTCAGGCTGGTCTCGAACTTCCAACCTCAGGTTATCCGCCTGCCTCAGTCTCCCAGAGTGCTAGGATTACAGGTGTGAGCCAGTGCACCCAGCCCAGAGTGATATCTTATCTCTAAAAATAAAAAATAAAAAGATTTCCATATTTTTGTCAATATTCTCTTTGTTCTCCTTTTCTAATTTTCTCCCCACTCCAAAAAACTGAATCAACAAATACACTCTGTGGTATTAAAAACTGTTGCAATCAAATCTTTTCCATTAATGTTTTAATAAAATATAATTTTGATTCTTGTGTAGCTATAAAAAGTAATGAAAACTTAAAATTCTGGCCTGCATAAGATTGCTGAGATTATTCAACTACATATACATATGGAAATTTATTATTTTAGAAAACTTAACATGCCAAATTAAAATATTGCAAAAAATGCTTGCTAATTATACCTCTAAATGTGTTATTTAAATAGAAGTTAATAGTCCTAAAATGTTGGAGGACATACTTCATTCATTACTAAATGTCAACAAATGACATAAAAATCTACTATCTTTAAGAAAGAATCAGGATTAATCCAGAAATGTAAGAAAAGTATTAATTGCTATCCTTTAAATGAATGAGAAAAGACTTATGAAATTCTTCAGTTTAATGCTTTGGGACACTAGCACATTGAGTGACTTTATGCAGGATTGCACCCTAAGCAAAACAGGACATATGCCTTTCTGAGGCATTTATACTCAAACATCAATTTCAACTTTAAAATATAATTTATTGTATTAGTCTATTCTTATGCTGCTATAAGGACATACCTGAGACTGGGTAATTTATATAGGAAAGAGGCTTAATTAACTCACAGTTCAGCATGGCTAGGCAGGCCTCAGGAAACTTATAGTCATGGCAGAAGGGGAAGCCAACATATCCTTCTTCACATGGTGGCAGGGAGAAGAAGGAGAGCTGAGCAAAGGGGGAAGTTCCTTATAAAATCATCGGATCTTTTGAGAATTTACTGACTATCATGAGAACAGGATGGAGGAAACCAGCCCCATGATTCAATTATCTCCACCCAGTCCCTCTCATGACATGTAGGAATTATGGGAACTACAATTCAAGATGAGATTTGGGTGGGGACACAGCCAAACCATATCATTTATCAAGACTATTCTTTCAGGGATCATTTTTATGCTTTGTACTAGAAGTTTCTCTGAAAGTGTAGAGCACCATCAACTATGGGAAAGGGGCACAGCATTGTCTCCTAAGCATGAAGCCAGCTCTCTGTGTTGTGTTGCTGCAACTGACACTTGGTATTGATGATCATTCTTTCCCTCCCTCAAAAGAATAAGAGGGGAGGATGAAGTCTGAGAGGTAATTATTTAAAATAACTAATTAATTTAATATAATGCAGTTTATCAGGCAACAATATGTAGAGATTAAAATGCACGTTTGTTTCTATCATCTATAGAAGATACATCTTCCACAGTTTTTTACAGAAGGCTGTCATTTCTCTAAGGATTCACAATCAATATTCTTTGGTTTATACAGTGTATACATCCAGTAATCAGATACATTACTTGACATGTTTTTAAATGTTAACTTTCTTTGACATTTTAATATTTTAATCAGGAATTTCATTTCCCTAGATAAGATAGCTTTCATTATGAAATTGTGCTTTTTCAGTTCATTTGAAGGTGGCATTGTGTCTGAACTTTAGGAACAATGACTGAAGATAAAGATGTTAAAAAAACATCAAGATACAACAGAATATCATATAAAATTTTTATTAAGTTAAATGACATTAAATGAGAGTAGTAGTTTTAAAATATATCTACTAATTCTTTGACATGCCTTCCTTTAAGAAACGGAGCTTCATCCCCCACCCCTTGAATGTTGGGTGGATGTAGTGGCTTGCTTCTATCAAATAGACTATGTAGAAGTGATGGTGTGTGACCTTCAATATGAGGTCATGCAGGGCCTTGCATCTGTCTCTTCACTCTCTCTGGGATCACTTGCTCTGGTGAAAGCTGGTAATAGATACCATGTCATCAGAATACTCAAGCAACTCCATGTAGAGGTCCATGTGGACAGGAATGGATGCTTCTTTTCAAAAATCATCAAGGAATCAATGCCTTCTGCTAGAGTCATGTAATTGAACCATCCAGTAAGTGGATCCTGTAGCTACAGCTCCAGTGAAGTTTTTAAGATGACAGTAACTCCAGCCAACACCATGGCTTGACCCTCAGCCAGAACCATCCAGCTAAGCTGCCTTCAAATTTTTGACTCATAGAAATATGAGACAATAATGTTTTATGTTTTAAACTCCCAAGTATGTGGATAATTTGTTCTGCATCAATAAATAACTATTACAAATACCTTCCCTTATAGACCTTGACAAAAGATCACATCCTTTGATGTCCAGAAGTAAACATGAACTGACATGTGATAAATTCTGGAAACATTATCGGAAACAGAACTCCTTTCTTTTGACAAGCCCAATGCCCCCCCACCCACTGCCCATTTCAGCCCACCAATATCTTTACATCAATCCACTCTCCTATGATTCTTTCTCATCCAGATTTTCAGATTAGAATAATAAATCTAGTTCACTTTTGCTTAGATAGACTTAAATCAGTCAAGTTCTCTTATTTCATTTTTTGGTTTTTCAATGAGATTCTACAATAGGGATATCTATTTCCAGAAATCAGATAACTAACTTTTCACTTACAAATAAGGTATTTTTTAATTTCCATACTTCTGAATATTCTTGTTCTGACCTTGCCACGGAATTTCTATATACCTGTGGTCTTTTTACAGAAACTGTCTTGATATCATATTTAAATACATAAAGAATGATCTGTATCTTAACATTCTATGAATATATCAGCATATTCACTTTTTAATATAAATATTTCAGTAAAAGTTAATGTCAAATTACCTGGAGCAAGCAAACCTGCTGAGTAACTATTAAGGCAAAAACTGGGAGGCAAAAAATGGCTTTCTAAAGTGCAGAATCTTGGGAGTGACATAATTCTGTCAATGGTCAAATTGACTTCTCAGAAATCCCACTGTTCTGTGCAAGGAACTCCCAAACAGAATATCCTAAGAGTAATATTAACAACCCCAGTCAAATCCGCTTTCTATATTTTTTCCACCTAACTCCTCATAGGTTTTTTCGTTTATTCCAGAGTGGCGAAAGTTTTGTAATGTACTAGGGCAGAAAATTCTTACGGGAAAAAATAAACTTCATGTTTCTTTCTAAAATAGATACGTATTTCTTCCACTGCTTATTTCACTAATGTTATTTGGCTTGGTCAGCTACTGCGTATTGCATGATATTTTTTTTCTGGGATAAGTTATTTCAACTTCAAACTTGGAGGGTTTTTAAAAGAAAAACTGAAAACTATTTTTACTAAAAGGGCATGAGTCACAAATGATGGCTATACTTAATTAGTTTTCCAAATTTTATAATACTCCAAATTGTGGGTCAAACAGAATTTAACAAAAATAAAATGTTTGTGCAAATCCCCTTCCTTACATGTCTTCAAGCATCATACAGCAACACTGGAATGTGTTATGATAGAATTAATAATTCAGAGCGTGTCATTAGGAAAACTTCCCTGAAAGTTGATTTGAATATTATGTCAGTACTAAATTGGAATAAGGTATAACCAGAAACCCAAGTTTAAAGTCATAGTGACATTTAAAAATTGCTAAAATGAAGTACTGTGGCAATTTCAAATTAAGATTAACAATATTGCCATCACCGGAAACATCCTTGACACCTAAGGCTGAACTGTTTCCTTGTGTTACCAAGTCATGATAATACCAGCTCCAGTCTTATACTGAGAATGAACATTTCAATAGGACTGACAACTGATCCTCAGGAATCCGAAAGGAAATATCAAATAGGTGTTACTTATCCACATGTGAGTCTTCCAGGAAGACCCGGGGAATTTGTAAGGCTCAATATTGCTGGAAATTCACTTAATGCACACTGTCCTTCTCCCCAGTGTCTACACGGGAATGATTTAGGGATACAGGTTGCCATGTCTTGATTTAGAGCTAAGATCTTAATCACAATAAAACCCCTGCGTTGGCAGACCTTTCTTGTTATCTTCACGAAGACCTCAGCAAAACAGGCACTCAATTCCTCACAATTCTCACAGAACCGCCTTATGGTTTTTCTAAGCAGCCATTCTCTTTTTGGAATTTGCATTTAGACCAATTGGAGATAAGATCTGGTGCTTTAGGGAGCAGGTGTTAAGAGACCCAACAAAAAGTAGAGCTGTCTGAGAGCTGTAGAACAGTGTAGGTTGGAGCAATCAATTTTATTGCAGTACACTGTTTCTCTTGCTACTAACAGCTGCTGGGAGGATAGCAGGAAAGCTACCCTGCTGAGCAGATTTGAATCAGAGGATGGAAAATCCACCTCATTTCCAGGCTGAGGGGTCCCACATTAAAAGACCATAAAGTTAAAGTCATTTAAATAGTAGCTCCAGGGGCACATTAACTTTGCCTTCTTATAAAATGTCTGTTAATACAGATCTCAAAGACAAGTTGCTTGTCATTTTATCATTCAACACAACATAGCAGGTTTTTACATTTGTTTTCGTGCCTCAGACATTTGTGTTTACTGATACAGACACACAGACACATACACACAAAGTCTGATTAAATGAACAAAAAAGAGCATGCTATCACCATTTATATATATGGAAGCCACTATCTACATATAGCTAACACTGGCAATTTGAAATCTTTGCAAAACATTTAAAGTACTGAAATGAACATTTCATCATTACTGTTGGGGAAAAAAAAAACACAATTTATTGCCATGCATATTGCTGCAAACTTGGTGAAGCTTTAAATTTTCTGGATTGTGGATTTTGGAACATTTCTGCCCTGGAGGAATGCCTTAGAGGAGCAAATATGAAATATAAATTGGTCTTTGAGAATTCCGCTGAGTTAGATGGCTGGATGCATATCGACTTGTGAGTAAAGTCTTCATAGAAAGACCTGAACTGATTCAGGCTTGACTGTTCCTGCTGCTGTCAGTTGGACATTTCCTTGAGAGATCCCTTGAGAGATGCAGCTTATGGGTGCCATACTGTAACTGTAAACTACTTGGGAAAAAAAGGAGAGAGTGGGATTAAAAATATGCCTGGCAGCTCAAGGGTCTGGTATGAATGCCAAGTAGCAGCTGAGACAACTGTGTTATAGCTTTACATTGCCAAAGGGAAGGAATGTTTTTTAAGATAGCCAGGTTCTTGTTTACTTTCTTTAAGAATAGATAATGCAATGCTTCTCAACAATGTAATTATTTTTGAGTTTTAAAAATAATGTATAACAATGTTTCATATCCAAGGCAAATTAAAAGACTGAATTTACAATCAATGTGCCTGGCTAAATGGAATTATATAAATCTGGCTATGTAACGTACAAACTATTAATGTTGCATCCATATGCTACTAGGATGGATAAAATATCTAGATTATTGTTTTCAATTATTATAGTACCTTGTATAGTATAGATATGGGTGTAGGCAAATTTTTACAGGATATTTCTGTGTGCCTACAATGTAAAAATATCAGCATCATTTTATTTTAAGCAATCGTGTTTATTAAACTGTCAAAGCCATTGATATTAAATATTTAAATAGAAAACTAGAAGCTCATCAAAATAGCCAGCTGCCTTAAATATAAGATAATGTGATAATTTTAAGAAACAGGATACTGTAAAATAACTTTCATTCACTTTTTACAATTAAGAAAAATTGAAGTTATGTATAATCTTTTTAAAAAAATCAACTACTGGGGCTGGGCACAGTAGCTCATGCCTGTAATCACAGAACTTTGGGAGGCCCAGGCAGGCGGATCACTAGGTCGGAAGATACAGACCATCCCGGCTAACATGGTGAAACCTCGTCTCTAATAAAAATAGAAAAAAAAATAGCTGGGCATAGTGGCACATGCCTGTAATCCCAGCTACTCGGGAGGCTGAGGCAGGAGAGTCGCTTGAACCCAGGAGGCGGAGATTGCAGTGAGCCGAGATTGCGCCACTGCACTCCATCCTGGGCGATGGGGTGAGACTCTGATAAAAAAAAAAAAAAAAAAAAAAAAAAAAAAATCAACTGCTGATAGATTTATAAATGTATGTGATACCTGGAATGAAATTTTTCCAAATTTTTTTTAAATTTTCAGTTGCTTTGTTGTTTTATGTGACACAACTGTTTTGTCTTTTGGATTTGAACCATTTGCCTAGGTGGAATCTTTTTAATTTCTTTGTGAAGAAAATCGAAAAAGTTATTTTAATACATACTCCACTTTCCAGCTTTGAAACAGCAATATGAATTTCCAACAGAGGCTACTTCACTTTTAAAAACCCATATTAGCTTTTGGCTAAAGTGAGAGCACCCTGTTGAGGGACGCTTCTCATGGAAAACAATCTCGCTTCTCATGGAAAACAATCTGATATGATGTATTTGGTGCAAAAGAGGCATCATAAGAACTTGCTACCAACGGGGCCTGAGGATTGCACCATGAAGGATAAGTCAGCATTCATTCATCTACTCTGGCCATCTGCCCTTGTCTTTACATCTCTTTATATCTGCCTGTCTCTGAGTCCTGTAACTCATCAGCAAGGCAGCAGCTGTTGGACTTTCTTGCTGAAGATACTGAAGCCTCAAGCCTGAAGCTTCACAGAAAAGGAAATACTAATTTGTAAACATCATCACCCTTCAATCACTTTGGGCCTGAGTCATGGGGAAAACCCAAAGTGATTTGTAAACACACTAGCATACAGAAGTGTTCCCTATTTCACACCTTTTGTTCCATCTATAGGGAGAGCAAGGTCCATATGCTTATGTAATTCTCACCTTAACCCCACACATTTTGAAAATTACACAGGCTGAAGATGGAAAGGAAAAGTACTTGGGTAGATATGATGCTTACCATATGTGCCAGATTTCAGGTAATTCTCATCAAGCATTAAAATATTCCAAAAATTTCAACATTTGGAGCTAAAAATGCCTCTTCCATATTGACTCTCATGCCTGGAAAGCCATGTGCTTTCCATTTCGTGTCTTCTTTCATTTGGAAAATACAGTCCAAGGATTTTGGTAGAAAACTCATGACTCTGAGGCATACTATGAAGCTTCTTTTTATCCAATTAACATCATCATTTAGACTCGCATGGCACAAGCATATTGTTTTGCACGATAGGTGCTTATTCAATGCTGATTTTGTTTAATTTAGCTCAATGATAAATATCGTATGGTTAATGAAACTGATCATTGTCATTATACATCCATCAAGAATATAGGCTCACTGAAGTTTAAACTAAAAGTTCATGTTTTTTACAAAATACTTGTGAAACGACAAGCAAATATTTTCTTATAAATAATGAAGATCATCTTAAATGACTGTAGATACAATGACACAGACATACATAATAAGAGAACACACGTGACATAACTTCAAGATATTCAAAACTCATCTAATCTCATGTATGTCCTCAGAAGCTTTATCTTACACCAGAAATATCTGCCATTTTTCTCATTTCTATTATTAAATATATTGCATTTTCAGAGTATTCTTGTATAAATGAAAATACATTAAACAGAATGTGTAACAGTTTATCATTTTAGCCTTCATGATTTCATTTGGAAGATTAGACTTTTTTGGCTTTCTTCCATAGATTAGGAATATGAGAAACATATAACAGGATGAGTAATTTTTGATAAAAGTGTGTGTACTTTGGTAAAGTTCTAAACACAGTACATATTCTGAAATGGCATACATAAATGAGGTAGCAGAGAGAGCTCCCTTAGGCAGCCAGAGGGCAAGCTCATGAGGACATTGGGTTTCAATTAGAAGTTATTCAAAAAAATGAACAATTACAAAAAGAAGTTTTCTGCTATGTCATTGTTATGGGTTGAATTGTGTTCCTCCTCCAATTCTTATGCTGAAGTCCTAACCCCAGTGCTTCAGAATGTGACTTCATTTGGAAGTAAGATCTTTAAATATGTAATTAAGGTAAAATGAGGCCATATGCATGAACCCTAATCTAACATGACTGGTATTCTTATGAAAAGAGTGGATTAGGACACAGATGTACAGCGGGAAAACCATGTGAAGACACAGAAGGAAAACAGCCATCTGCAAGCCAAGCAGAGAGGCTTTAGAAGAAACAACCCTGCTGACAACTTGATCTTGCACTTCTAGCCTCTGGAACTGTGAGAAAATAAATGTCTGTTGTTTAAGCCACACAGTCTTTGTTATGGTAGCCCTAGTAAACTAAAACCATCTTTTTTTTTTTTTTTAACATGTTAGTGACAAAGAAAAACCACGCTCTTAGGCCTACTGGCATCTTACAAAATTAATGACTTCAAGCATAATTTAAGATAGTTCAATAGATTTAAAGAAGTAACACAAAAGACATCATAGACTCGAAGTTAAGAAAAGGAAGGGAATGAAGGGAATGACAAAATATGAAGAAGGACTCCAAGAGACAAGATCAGAAAAATTGTGAACGTGATTGCTTAAATCAGAAGAAATGAGACAAGCAAAAGACATGTGAGGAAACAAATAGTGAGTAGACACAGTGATAATATTGTGCTATAATTACAAATGACATAAAGAATACCAAATGAAATCAGATATGATGTCTTGTTATTTTGAAGAATGGATAGCAGGACAAGGTAGACAAATTATACTTTCAAGAAATGTCATTATAAGAAAAGTTTTTTACAAAATTTATTTGGAGTTTTCGCAGAAAGATCCTTTGGAATCAGTGAGAAAATTGAACTATAACATATTTTTAAAGCATACAACTGTATCATGTACTTATCCCATATAGATCATCAAATGTGGCTTACAAGAGTGCAATCAAGAAAAGAATTAATTTGAACATATATGTGAATATAGTCTGTGGCATACTCATACTGTATGCTCAATTCTATGCTACTAAATGATTTCTTAAAACAGATTTTATTTTCTTAATTTTTCCGATACTTACTCGCCCTATTTATGTTCCTTATAACTGAAAAAAGAACTGACAAATTATGGCATTTTTAAATGATTTAATTGATAATTCCATAAGCATGACAATAGGACATGAAAATCAGTATGAAAGCCATGGTAAAAATAAACAGGGAGGGAATAAATACAGTGCTCTGGGTTAATTTAAATGAAACAGTTTTTGAAAGATTTTTTTAAAAATAAGATTAAAGTAACTTTTCTTATAAAATTATTTTCCTAAGTGTTCCTGAGCAAAAAAAGATATAAAAGTAGTCAGCTAATCCTAGGAGAGAAAAAATTGACATCATCTTTTTATCCCAGAGCTCATTTCTCTATCATGGCAGTTTATATCCTCTAGTAGGTGATTTTAAGTTTTCCTACTAGGACTGAGATTATTTTTTCCTTTTGAACTTTCAATCTTCAATAGATTCTCTTGCTGAATATTATATTGTCTATATCACCAAAGGATTAACTAGGAATGTTTTGTGGAATGTGGAATATGTCATTTGGGAAAGTTAAGAAGCCATTGCAATCCAAGATAATTAGGAGGAAAAACAAAAAGAAGAACTAGTGCTGAATGTTTGAAATAAACATTATTCTCAATCATCTACATGTCTTATGAAGTTATTATAATGGAGCTATGAACTTAAACAGAAAAAGTGATTGAGTATGATGCTGATGCTGCTGAGAAAATTGAGGATGATGCAAAAAATCTAGCTATAATAGGGTGATTACAAACCCGACCAAAAATCTTGGGATTCCTGAGATAGCCTATCTGTCATTTTAAGGGTACCATTGTTCAGAAGCCTATCATATACCAGGAAGTATCTTAGATGTCTCCCAAAGATGATCTTTGACCCTCAAAAACAACACCATAATATAGATATTATTTTCTTTGGGGCTAACTGGTAAGTACAAGAAAGATTGTCATCATTGGGAACATTGTATATCTTTACTTTTTCCTGGGAACCATTATTGATTTCTCACTAGACCCACTTTATAGAGTATGAGGGTTTCACTCATTTTCAAAAATACTCCACCATTTTAAAGACTGACTTATTTTCTATAAGTAAGAAAATATAATTTTACATCCCCCTATTTTGTTCACTATGTGGCTCTACATAGCATAAACAACTGCAGCTTTAGCCTGCAGATTTCACTGAGAGCCTAACCTCTCAGTATAAACACGGCTCAATAAGATCTAGGACAGAAATTATTCTTGGTGAGTATCTAAGTGATCCATCATGGGAATACTGAAGTTTCCCTTAAGACAATGCACTTCCTAATAAGAATGATGATTCTTATTCTCAAGTATGTTTTTTAATGGGCTGTGGAAGCATTTTTTAAATGGGCTGTTGAAACTATAATGTGTATTCACTTTTTAAAAAGCACTTTATAGCTTTATGAAGGCACTTAAATAACACACTAGATTATACCCTTAGAAACCTTCCTTGAGCATATTTATAATACATTTTGAAATTTCTCATCCAATTATTACCTTTACGATAACATTTCTGTCAAGGGGAATTTCTTGGATGCAAAACATAATTTTTTTTCAAATTTATCTTATTAAGTTATTCGGATTAAGACACTGTTAAACCCTTTACTGAAATTTCATAATGGATTGGAAAAGATAATTTCTCAAAGTGCCTCACCAAACCAGAGTGTGTCTGAAAGCTGAGAGAGTCAGGATCCATAAAATCAAATTGATAAAGACTAAACTGATATTCTTGTAAGTAAAGATTATCAAATTTATCTGCAGCACCTATGACACATTTTTTAACTGCAATAAGCTTCACAGTTTCTTCCTAGGAAAATTTATGTTATCATGGTTGTTTTCACAGTTTAAATGTATTTCCCTGAATCATCATGAATATAATCTAGAATTAATCAAATGCATGTACTAAGAATGGGGGAAATAATAATAAGATGGCTTTATTTAGTTTCCATAATTGCAGGCCACTTCAAGTAACTAAACAAAGAAATGGGACCTCCAATGACAATTAGGCCATATGAAAGTCTCAAGATGACGAGTGCCTCATTCTGCTTAAAGATACCAAAAATAAGTAGGCTGGCCAAAATGAGAAGTAGTAACTACCTGACGAATATGTCTTATTTTTGGTGTAACCATTAATGCTGCTAAATATTTAAATGGAGAATATGTGTATATGTACATATACATCAAATTGATAGATGTATAGCCAAAATATTTTGATTAAGTGTTAAAAGATTAGATTTACTAAAATATTGTAATATAATTTAGTAGAATTTTGCCACATTTTGGCCTAATTACTTCTTTAAAAATAACCCAAGTAGAACTCTCAAAATCTCTTTGCGAGTGATCAAATAAAAGAAAGTTGTTAATTTTAAAAATTTATTTTCCTACTAATGTTAGTATATCATACAGAAAACTACAATAAGGAAAAAAATTCAATTTTTTAGATTGAAAAAGAAAGGCACAAGTTAAATATTTCCCTTTCTATCAAAGTGCCATGAACTTGAAAGGATTTGCAAAGTGGAAACAGGTGTAGTCAACTGTTAGAGTATTTTTAAAATGGTTTGACACGTTATAATAGTGGGATCCAAAACTGAAACTTGACATTACTCTAAGCATTGGAAGATCATAAATCACTTTAGACAGCACACCGTGGTCTTAGTTCTTTCACACTGAAAGTATTTTGTAACTGTGATATTAGTATGCATTAGGAAAACAAAAATAATACAAAGTTTAAATAATAAAATAAAAATTTAACTTTTTCCCTATATATACTATACATGATACATAACGTCATATTGTTTGTAGAGCAATTAAAGATATTTTTCTGCATTTGCATATTCATATATTTTATTAAAGTCTAGACATTTTTAAGTGTCAATTTAAAGTGGACTTCATGCACATTCATGTTTTATAGTTGATTTAAGTGACACATAATTAAAATTGCAAAGGAATGAATACTTCAGACAGAAAATTTTATATTAAGTTTATTTTTTGTAAGTAAGAAAGGACAATTGCATACAAATCCTAAGATTTTCCCTTTTTGGAATGTCTTTTTTTCAAAGATTCTAATTTTTTACGGGAATAATCTTATAACAACTTTACTTATCCCCATTACCCCATAGTGATACTGTGGGTATAAGATAATCCAGGTCAGAAAAGTAGCAGACATAATTGTAGTTCCTTCTCCAGCTCTCTACATTCATGTTCTCACTCCAAGTACAACTTTTTGAAATTTAACAATTGTGCTAAATGCTTAAGATTGCTTCATAATGCTTTATACTGATTCAAAAACAAAATGTACTGGCTTTCATTATAAGTAACAAGAATAAATTAAACCATTTATTTACATCATCAGAAGTAGATATTTTAACATGAGCCAAAAATGTTTAATCTTTAAAGAAATTTAGTTAAGTAATTTGCCTTAGGTTAACCTAAAAGATATATTTGATGACATTACTCATGACATATAGGTTATATCAAATTCTCAAATAAATTTAGCAATTTTATTATTTAATTTTATTTTTGTCAATGTTCACTTGTTTGGGATTTTCCCCTCTCTGATTTTAAGAGATTTACTTCTGGATGTTTGTTCAATTTCCTCATTTCTTTTTAATTCTCAGGTCCACTTCAGTCAGATAAACTTATTATACCAAGAATAAAATTCAGTCTTATAGCTATTTTTAACATTGAACTATAATTTCCTCATGCTTGATGATACTAACAATACATGCTATAATTTAATGTTTTCTATTTTCTAAAAGAATCTCTTCCTGTTATTAATTTTTCAAGATCTGAACACATTTCTTGGATTGAAGGCATCCAAACAGTCTCTAGCAGGAAAATATATAACACACAATCCTTTAAAAATACTTACAATAACAGCTGCGATTTATAACAACAAATGAAAGATGAAGGAAATATACAAATCATAAACTTCAAGAAACACATAAATCTTTATGAAGTCTTATCATAACTCAGGCAGAATGTTATCCTTTCAAAATCTGCCAGATCACACCAGACATTATATCCAGTTTGAAAACTCAGGTGCTTTGAAGTTGTTATCTTTGAAGTCCTCTTAGCGTTGGGGTTTTGGTCACTCCTCAGATCACAGCAATTTAGGCATTAGTTCTATGTGGTCCTATTGTTTCCCTATGCCAGTTACTGTTTCTTTTTCCCTTTAATACAAAAGCACATAATTTTGTTCTCCATGATAAATAATCTGAAAAATTTAAACACTGTTGCATAAAAAATGTTAAATGTATAAGCAATAATAAAAGACTTGGTTTATTTGCACAGAAAAAAACAACCTCTTTTCTTTCAAACTACTGTCTTCATTTTTTTTCTTTCTTTTAAGAAAATCACAGTCTGTATTGTACCCTTCAAACCAACTCCTCCTACTTGGGTTTTGTTGCTTGCAGGTAAGATTTTGGCCAGAATATGCAGACTTTCTTGTCTTCTCATGTTCATTTGTTTATTCTTTCAAATGAAAATTGGTTCGAATGTCTACTAAGTGCCAAGCACTATTCTAGGTGCTAGATACATTAGTGAACAGAATCACAGATAACCAAGAAACTTATATTCTAGTTGGGGAAAGGCATTAAAAATGAATGATTCTATGGAAAAAAATGAAAATAATCAAGCATGGTAAAGAAGATCAGAAGGCCAGTGTTAGGAGTGGGAGGCAGCAGGGAGGGATAGAAGGGGCAAGCAGGACTTAATATTAATTACGGTGAGGGCAAGCCTCATTGAAATGGTGAGATTTAAACAAGGAGATGAGTTTAGCTAAATAGATATCTGGAAGACGAACATTTCAGAATAGATAGAGCAAAAACCTTAAAACAGGAACATATCTGGTAATGTTCACACATCAAGGAAGCCAACGTGCTAAAGCCGACTGAGCTTGTGCAAAATGGTAGGAAGAGCCAGGTGGGGGAGGGGCAAAAGACAGACCATGAGAGACCATGTCGGCCATTTTATTACATACTTTAAAAGGATAGCTAAGTACCCAGGCAAGAGATTGTGGTGATTCTGAAAAGGGAAATAACAGCAGTGGATATGTTTTAAAGATAGAGTCATCATCATTTCCTGAACAGAATGGATATAAAATGTAAGAAAAAGAAAAAAGATAATTACTGCTCCAAAGGTTTCCACTTAAACGACTACAAGAATGGAAGTAAAGCAGATTTTCACGGAGCAGGAAGGAAGTAAAAGGGCAGTATAAGGACAGAATATTTGAAATTTTACAAAGTTTCAAACATGCTGCATTGTGGATGTCTATTAGACAGTGAAATGGAGATGTTAAGTAGACAATTGAATATATGAGTCTGTGGTTTGAGAGCACAGTCTGGCCAAGGGCGTTAAAAATTGGGAAGTCATCAGCATTTAAATAGTATTTAAAGTTATGAGACTGGAGGAGATGACCATAAGTCTGTAACAGACACAGACGCACACACATACACACGTACACACACACACACACACACACACACACAAAATCTAAAATCTGAACTTTGGGCCATGCCAGAGTTTTAATGGGTCAGGCAAAAAAGAAGGAACCAGCAAAGGCAACTGAGAATGAGGAATCAGTAAATTAGGAATAAAGTCATCAAGTTCAGAGTTCTGGAAATAAAATCTTAAAATATATATAAGGAAGGGAGAGGGCACAACAATATAAATGCTGCTGATAGGTTCAGTACTTCCAGTAAATATGGTTAGGTACTTTTAGAAGTTAGATATATGAAAGGTGTTCTATTTTGTTCTGAAAAGTGATGATCAAGCTATGAACCAGCAAAACTTTTAAAGGAAAGGGCTATCAGAAATCATGATAGATAGATCATGATAGAGTTTCTAGCATTACTCTACTGTATTCTGAAACTCTGATTTTGATAAAATATATCATTACACATATGTGACAGTATTCAAGTTGGATTTCAGCAGCCAAAACTTCAATGATACTGGTGGCTACTGAATCTGAATGTACAATTTTTAACATCCTCCAAATGCTTTTTGCTCTTGAATAGAAGAGATTTTGGAGTAAAAACAATCTTTAGCTCATTCTTCATTCTCTGAAACCTTAGAGACTGTTCCAACATATGTTCAATAGCATATTTATGGCTGTGACTGACTCCAGAAAACTGATTGTATTTAATCCTCTCATTATTACCTTTGGGAATAGTACACAAGTACATATTTTGAATTTTTTTTCTATTCCTGAAACTAAAAGGATCATAACAAAGCTTTGACACAATAAAGGATGTCTGCCAAATGTCAATCATTTTCCAAAGGGGTCTTTGGGGGAAGTTACTGATGAAAACACTTCTGAAATGCTTTCTAAATATTAAAAATGGAGCATTAAAAAAAACACTAAAGGCATTCTTAGACCATTTGGAAGCATGAATTTATGCTTGGCACACAACCTTCACTGATTCTCTCTCCCCATGGCCCATCCTAAATCCAAGGTGTCCAGACAAAATCTTGCCATATCAGCAAATATTACATAATTAGATTTTGTAATAGTTCTTCTAGATTTTACTTTAAAAGATTTCTCAATTAATACTAATCACTTAAAAGGCTCTTTTTAAAAAGGAAAAAATGAATTCCATTGTAAAATCGATATAACTTTTGGTAAAATAAAGATTATTTTTTAATAAAAATCATGGATATAATAGAAAAAAGTAATAGTTACATTTGAATAGGAGGCATTAATATCATTTATTAAATATATGGTACATTCAGACACTGTCCAAAATCCTCAGTATACACATCTCAATCATCAAATTATCATTTGCTTTAGATACAATTATTATGCCCACTTTATAGAAAATCAGTATCTTGCCCAAGTCACGCCTAATAGTGTAAGTGAATACTGCCCCTCGGAAAGCCACTGTGACATTTCTAGCTCCAGAACATTAGTGTCAGTCCTGAACTTGACATTTAATGTTTATATCATTTTGAAAAGTAATTCAGTTGGCCACTCAAGAGACTTAATTTCTTCTTCTATAAAAGTGATATTATCTTTAATTTTAAGTGCATTATTGTTGAAAAATATAAAATGTAAAATGTCTAATTATAATGGCAAAATATAAAATCCAAATACTGCTGAAGTATATTAATTAAAATTTTTAATTTTTTATTGAGGCAGACATTGTATTATTTAGACCTCTCCAGAGAAATGAAACCAATAGGGTGTGTATGCACAGGTAGATTAACCTTAAGGAATTGGCTCACCTGAGATTTGGACTCGCTGTCAAGTCTAAAATCTGCAGGGCAGGCCAGTGGCATGGAGACCCAGGGAAGAGTTGATGCCGCAGTCTTGAGTCCTAAGGCAGTCCAGAGGCAGAATTTCTTCCTCTTTGAAGGACTTCGGTCTTTATTCTTAAGGTCTCCAACTGATAGATGAAGTCAGTCACTTATTTTGCATGGTTATCTGGGTTACTCAAAGTCTACTGATTTAAATGTTAACCACATTTTAAAGATACCTTTAGATCAACATCCAGACTGGCATTTGACCAAACGACTGGGCACTATAGCCTAAGTTAACACATAAAATTAACCATCAGAGTCTAACACTTGTCAACTTGGCAACCCCACACATATCCTTAAGCCATACTTAATTGCACTTGATTATTAAAATTCTCCTTTGCTGAAGTCATACTTTAGCGAGCATTCACATAGGACACACATATTTTTATGTTTTTCTCCTATTCAGAGAGGTATATTGACATATCGTTTCCCCAGACCTCCTTGTCATCAATTTTCTGATTACGTTACTTTCAAGTTTCTAACCATCCATCTGAATCATTGAATCCACGTACAATCACATATCTTGCCATTTCTCTTTCCCAGCAAAATGAATAACCAGCACACTGCTTAAATTTCTGCTCACTGGAAATTTTTTTTTATTATCTTCCTTCATGGGTGTTTCGGAAAGAGACTTTAGTGCTGCATCTGTCTCCTTTCAGGTGGTGCTGAATATCATCCAGAACCATCTGTAACCCAGGCCCCGGTGTTCTCTTCCTGTGTCAACTGATCACAGGGAACTCCCCTTCAGGCCATAGGTAGAGGCTGGGAAAGATAGGGCAGTGTAGCAGGAGTGGTGACCATGAGCATTCGGTCCATTTCTTTAGGCAGCTTATGCCTTTGGGACCTGCTTGAGCCCAATCTCATACATTTCTTGCATTTGATGATGGAGTGCTACTGTGCACACTCAACTTTATGGCTTGGTGGGCCCATTTCATGAGGGCAGCATAAATTGCATGGTAACTTGATGGCCCATGTTTAAGTAATCAGTCTCTACTGATTACTTACAGTACTTACAGTAGCTTACAGTACTTACAGTAGCAAACCAAAAACTGTTTCTCAAAAGGAGGGTAGTTATCCACAGAGGATAGCAGGATTTTGCTCCCAAATCTGAAGTGTTTGCACTGTAATTCACTTACAGGGGCCTGATAAATGCTTCAGACAAAATTTTTATCTTCCACTGATACTTTATGCACCAAGAACATGCTGGATAATATGGTCTAAGAGGCACAGCAGATGGCATAGCACTATGACCTCTTACAGACACTTCTGTTCTGGGCTGCACTCAACACTGACAGCTTTCTGATAACCTGGTAAGTCATCTAGAGAAGCACACTCAGGTGAGGAAAACATTGCCTTCAAAATCCAAAGAAGCTCACTAGGCATTGTGCCTCTTTCCTGGTTGTAGGAGAGGCCTGTTGCCACAACTTATTCCTCATCTTAGAAAGAATATCTTTACGTGTCTCATACTACTGGATCCCTTGAAATTTCACTGAGGCAGAATTCCCCTGAATTTTTGTTGGATTTATTTTTCATCCTCTGACATGCAAATGTCTTACCAATAAGTTTAGAATACTTACTACTTCTGACTTACTAGTTCTAATCAGTATAATATCATCACTGTAACGGACCAGTATGATGTCTTGTGGAGATAAAAGCAATCAAGGTCTCTGAAAACTAAATTAACAACCTAAGGCTGGGAAATGGGTACACTCTGAGGTAGGACAGTAAAGGTGTATTATTGGCCTTGCCAACTGAAAGCAAACTGCGTCTCGTGGTTTTTATTAACAGAGATGGAGAAAAAAAATATTTGTCAAATCAGTAGCTACATATCAGATACTAGAGGATGTGTTAATTTTCTCAAGCAATGAAACCATATCTGGTACAGTAGCTGCAACTGGAGTCACTGCCATGTTAAGCTTAGAACAATCCACTGTCATTCTCCAAGATCTATCTATTTTCTGTTTAATAGGCAAGTTGGTTGGGGATACAGTGAGAGTCACCACTCCTGAATTTTTCAAGTTTCTGATGGTGGCACTAATCTCTGTGATTTTGCTTTTGAGTTACTATCTTCTTAGGAAGAGGAAGTTCTAGTGGCTTTCAGTTGGCCTTTCCCACCGTAAAAGACATCACCTTATAGGTCAAGGAAGAGACGTGTGGATTTTGCCAGTTGTTGATTATATCTATGTCACTTATGCATTGTGGAACTAGGGAAATAGCCACAGGATAGTTTTGGAGACTCACTGAACCCCACTGTGAAATGGACATGAGCCAAAACATCACCTTCATAAACTACTCTGACTGGTGGATCCCCATGGCATTTAGTGTCTCCTGGAAATTGTATCAATTCAGAGCCAGTGTCCAGTAATTTCTGAAGATCCTGATTGTTCTCTTTCCTGATACACAGTCACCCTGTATGATAAAAGGCTTACATCCCTGTTGGGGAAGGCTGGAAGAATTATTGGCAGTGTAGCTGGGTGCTTCCTCAAAGTTATCTCACCTCCCTTCACTTGAAGAATTTGGGCTTTATAAACTGACTCAAGTCTGAGAATTGATTGAGGGGCCATGACTGTCTGTTCTTATGATTCAGGCTAAACTTTTGTTCACTTGACTGTAGTCCTTATACAGATCAAGTACGAATTTAGTAGACTTCCAATTTATTTCACTTCTAGGAAAGTGATCAACTAGCCAATATCATAGAGCTCTGTGAATCAGACTATTTTAGTTACTGCTTTGACTCTAGTGTCCATTATAATAACCACATTTACCTTTATTTTAATGATTAAGTATCACCACTTGGCCTCTGACACAGTGAGATCCAATAATTTTCATTGAATTTTAGTTTCCCAATTTAATGGCAGCAGTTCACACTATAATTTCTGAGCTGCAAAGAAGAGTGATCATGGAGGTTTTCAGTGAGGCTGAAGTTCCCCTAACAAGTTTATTTCTCATGTTTGTGGCAATAAGTATGTCCTCTGGACTCTTCCTATGGTGGATGAGGAGGTCTTGCATGATAAATTCACACTTCTATTCCTATTTTCCCAACCCTTTGGATTCTTTTTTCTACTGCACATGAAGGCAGTTCTGGCATGTTAACTAATTAGTGTAGGTCACCTTTTATTCGTGTTTCAGCTAACCAACTAAACAAACTGTTAGAGGCTTTTCTAACCCCCCAAGATGCAATATTAAATCAACAATCTCTGTTTAGTTGGCTTAAATCAATAAATTTGGCTTGTTTCAACTTTATGTATTTTCTACCAATATCCCACACTCTTAACATTCATTCCCACACATATTTTCCATATTTCTGTCTGGATAAATTTTTAAATCATATAATTTTGTTTAGAGTGCAGCACACCTCCTCATGATCACAATTATATCTGCCTTAGTCCATTTTGGTTGCCATAAGAAAAGAGTTTAGATTAGGTACCTTGTAAACAATTGAAAATTATTTCTCACAGTTCTGGAGGCTGTAAAGCCCAGGATAAGGGCACCAGCAGATTCAGTGTCTGGTGAGGGCCTACTTGTAGGCTCATAGAACAGCACCTTCTCAATGTATCCTCACGTGGTAGAGGGAGAAAAGCGGATCTGGAGCCTATTAATAAGAGCACTAATCTCATTCATGATGCCTCCAACCTCATGACCTAACCACCTCCCAAAGGCTCCACCTTCTACCACCACCACATGGGTGATTAATTTTAACTTATTTAATTTTGGGGGAACACAAACCTTCAGATCATAGAAATACTTCACCTTTCAGGGCCTTCTGGAACTTGAGTCTAGTTATAGACTAGAAGCAAAGCAGGGTTCTGGAACTGTGTCTGGAGGTAAATCAGCAGTATCTTATAAGGCAATTATCTCAGAGAAGATCATTACAGTTTATTCAGGCAAATTAGTGTTAATCTCCTCTGGGGGGCGGGGGAGGGGAATAGCTACCTCTACTGGTAAAGAAGACCCAGCAGAATTTAGAAGCTTAATGTCCTCATCCTCATCAGTATTTTATAATACAGTATGACCACATTTTCACTTTTCAGGATCTTATTCCTTCCCAATCAATGCCCTCAATTTACCAGTAGATACCTTATGAAGTTGGGAATTAAATTTCTGTTATATTTCAGCCACTAACAGAATAAGAATCTGGGCCTCGTTTTCAGCACTTTCTCCTTTAGGACTACAAAAGATAAGGTTTTCTTTTGAGGCAGACAATATAACCTTTCAGGTAATTTATGCAGTGCTTTAGCTGGAAATTCAACCCTTTGAGCTCATACTTTTGTGTATCCACTTTTTCCAGCGCAATTACGAACAACCAGCCAATTTCATTTTACTTGTTAGTTTGATAAAAATCTTCTAAGGTATCAAATACATAGTCACCCAAAAACTTGCCTCTTATAAGTATTTAAACAGGAATATCCAATGATGATATTTTGCATATTTCTATGGACACATCACACCATGGCTATCAGTGTTTTTCCTGCTACAAATAGTGCCTTTAAATCTAATTGAGTGAGAGAATTGATTCTAGAAACCCCAGAACCAGTTCAGAAAACTCATCCTTAAGATTTAGTTTTTCTGAAACCAATCTCAATACCAAAATTTGTATTAGTCTGTGTTCCCTAGAGACAATCAATAAGTTCTATCTAAAATCTGCAGAGCAGACCAGCAGTATGGAGACCTAGGGAAAAGTTGAGTCCCAAGGAAGTTCAGGGGCAGAATTTCTTCATCTTTAGGGAAACTCAGTATTTCTCTTAAGACCTTCAACTGATTGGATGAGGTCAACACATGTAATGGAGAGTAATTTAGATTAGTCAAATTTTACAGATTTAAATGTCAATCACTTCTAAAAAAATACCTTCACAGCAACATCTACACCTGTGTTTGACCAAAAAACTGGGCACCATAGCCTAACCAAGTCAACACATAAGGTTAATCATTGTACTATCCAATGTTTATTTTTCTTTTCATTTTTCTTCTTACCAAGAGAACCTATATTTTGTAAAGAACAGGCATAAGCCCAACTAAAACTATATCTCCTAACTCTTCTATTGATGGCCAATGAGATTTCATCAGGAATTTCTGATTACAAATTCCAGGAAAGACCTTTAAAACTGTGCAGAATCTATTGGCACAGAATTTTGTCATTTTATTTTGCTCTTCTTCATGCCAGAAGTGCAGAGGCTATGTGTGTGGAGGGTGGTAGGAAGAAGGAGGAACTATCTTTTGAAATAGAAAATGATAACATTGAGAATGAATGCCTCATAGAAAGTATGGCAGAGCAGAAAAATAGAAGGAATGTGAGCCTCTGAGGTCAGAGTGTACCTGCTCTCAACTGTCAATTTCTGGTCTTATTCAGTGTGAGAAAATTTAAATTTGATTTGATTAACCTCTTTAATAGGGTCTGTTAATGCACAGACAACCTACACTAGACATTTGACTATTTCATCAACAGCCTTAATAGTTTATTTATTTTTTTTTTTTTGAGACGGAGTCTCGCTCTGTCGCCCAGGCTGGAGTGCAGTGGCGGGATCTCGGCTCACTGCAAGCTCCGCCTCCCGGGTTCACGCCATTCTCCTGCCTCAGCCTCCCAAGTAGCTGGGACTACAGGCGCCCGCCACTACGCCCGGCTAATTTTTTGTATTTTTAGTAGAGACGGGGTTTCACCGTTTTAGCCGGGATGGTCTCGATCTCCTGACCTCATGATCCGCCCACCTCGGCCTCCCAAAGTGCTGGGATTACAGGCGTGAGCCACCGCGCCCGGCCAATAGTTTATTTTTTAACATTGATCAGATAAACGTTTTATCTTCTCTTTGAAGAAATACATAATTATCTTATAATCAGGGTTTTCTTATATCTAGAAATATAGCTTAGCTGCAAATAATGTTAATATTTTCTTTGAATGGTGGCTGTAAATATTAGTTAATAAAATGCAAAAGGTTTCTTTTGCAAAGGCAAATTTGCATTTTATTAACTAATATTTACAAAAAAGTCAATAATAGTTTTAAATGACTATAAAGGAGAAAGAAATTAATTGATAACTTTTTCAAGGTCCCCTACTATATGACTGAACCTGGACTGGAGTTCAGGTTCTCTGATATTCACTTCAGTGCTGTCTCAATTTGTTACACTAATTTTCTAAGAATTAAGACTCTTCAGAATTTTTTATTTCTTAGGTAAATGATAACCCGATAGCTAGGTCACAAGAACAAGAGAGGAGAATAACAGAGAGGGAGACTATTAAGAGATTAAATAAATTATTAATATATAATTTAGATATAATTATTTCTTAATCACACATAATTAATTATATAATTATTATTTCTATAACAGGGAATTAATATAGGGGTACAATTTTATTTACACTTAGAGAAGACTAACCCTATGCTAAAAATGTTCCTTAAATAACTCTTTTCAAACAAAATATCTTTGAAGTCATGAGGTCTTTGTATTGCAGGGGCAGGAAGGAAGAGCAGGAGCTCTAGAACAAATGCTGTGGATATTTGTTGCTAAAAATGTCCAAGAAATATCACTTTGTGCAACATATTAAACTTCGTGTGAAAAATTAAATGCCATGGGAAGATTGTTTCTTAGATTATTAGAAGTACACAAAATTTGAGACTATTAGAAGCCATTTCATCCAACTGCATTATTCCTAGGGATTCTGGATTCCACAATATTAGAAAGATGTCCTAGGTTCTACCTCCCTGGCTCATTTCTCATAATATGCATGAGACTGTAATTCCCATAGAAAGGTGATAGCTCTCTTAAACATGAAAATTAGATAAGAAGGTATATTTGACATAAAGAAGTCATCCTTGAGCAAAAGAGAATATAAATAACTCCTTGGAAGAAAAATGAAAAGTCAGAACAAAATTTTCTATCCACAAGAAGGTCCGGCTAAGTCCAAGTTAAATTAACAGAAATATTTCTCCTTTTGAAGGGGGTGAATGTCCCATGTTAGGTACCAATCCCTGTTCTGCACTCTGAAGTTCTGAATAAAGAAGGGCCAGGGAAGAAAGAATTGGAATGCAGAAGTATACATACAGCAACCAGAGTAAGCATTTTGAAATAAAAGATTGTTTCATATGCTATTTGACACCTTGTCAATGGCTTCTCATTTTACCTAGAGTAAAAGCCAAAATGTTTACAATGCCTAATAGGGTCCCACAGGATTTACCCCCAATTTCCACTACGTCACTGACATAACTTCTTATTAGTTACTGCTGCAAAACAAAACACCTCTAAACTATTTTTAAACCACACTTTATTAGTTCTGATGAACCCAGGAGTCAGCTGTGCAGCATCTGCTGTCAGCTGGTAGGTCAACCAGGGCTGTCTGGTCTAGGAAGGCCTCAGCTGAATGACTCAGCTCTTGTCCCATAGCTTGGAAAGGGCTTGTTTCATGGCAGAGTCAGGGTTCCAAAAGAAAGGGACTTTTACTAGCCACCCTTTGAATCTATTTTGCTGCTATACCATTGTCCAAAGCAAGTCACGTAGCACAACCCAGAGTCGGTATTTTGGTAGTCAGTACTATAAAGGGTATGGAGAAAGAAAGCTTAAATTATTATAGCCTTTTAAAAAAATCAATCACTCACACTTTTTACTTTTTTTTTTTTTTTTGCTCATCTAGCCCAAATTATACTAACTTACAACACACCCATCCCTGTATTAGAATCGTAACTTAGCTGTTACAACTGCTGGAAATGTTCTTCCCTAGATATTGACTTTTTACTCTATCATTTCCTTCAAGTTTTTTTTCTAACTTTTCTTTCTTAATGAACTCTTGTCTACACTATTCAATAAGACACATTGCAATGATTCCTCTACTTGTTCTTTCTTTTTCTCATAACATACCTGAATTTCTAACATAGAATTATGGGGGTTTTGTTTCATATATGTATTTTTTTGTTTGTTAATATGGTGGTTTGTTTCTTTCTTATCTATCTCTCTCTTCAGTAAAATATAAGCGGTGAACTTTGCTTATTTTATTTAATGATGTATCCTAAGCCTATTAATAGACTGCCTGGAGCCTGATAGACATCAATACATATTTGTTAAGTATATTAACATAGTCATATTTCTGCTTCTGTAACTTAAATTAAGAAATATGAACTTTGTATATCACAAAGTGCACAACAATCAGGAACTGAATGGAAAATAAACCATATAATAAATAGTAATAAATTACAATAAATATAATAAATAATAATAAAGAGCTCCTCTTAAAAACTTAAAGTCTCTCAAAACAAGTAGCCTTAGGATTGGAGAGAATCGCAGCAGGTGCAAGCCCAGGAGGTGGAAGCCAAAAAAAAAAAAAAATCATTTTATCCAAACTTCTTATTCAACTAAGGAAGATAATTAAGCCCAAGGAACTTAAGTGCATTGAAAAATGTTGAAAAGTCAGCTAGTGGCAAAACTAGGATTAGAGCCAAATCTTCCAATTACCACCACTATATTCTTTTCACTTTCTCAAACTGACAAAATCACTGCTCAGACAGAATTTATAACATTTAAATAAAAGTGTGAAAGAAGAAATTTCCAAAGTTATTGAGTAAGTAAAACCATAGGGCTTTGAAAATTAAGTTTGGAGTTTCTAATTTCAACAAATTGAAATCCAATAGGCTGATATATTTGTTTCTCAAAGAGAGCATAGATGGCTGTGGTTTAGCTTCTCTGTATGTAAAACTGTAATAGAGGAGACAGACGCCTTACTGAATCTAAGTTTACAAACTTCCTGAGCTAAATTATTGGCCTTTGCCAGTGCATGGGAATTTCATTTTCAGAATCAAAATGAGCATAGTAGAAACTATTCTGAGAAAGGGAAAGATTGTATCAACAATGATGTGAAGGAAGTAGAAGTTATCACTATATGGAGATTTCTCTTTAGTCTATTTTTCTCTTGAATAGTTTCAAAGAACTTTTTTTTTTCTATTTAAACAACCAGAGAATTAATTTAGCTCAGAGAAAAGCATCTAATAATTGTGGTTATGTTTCTACAGGCTGACTTTTACCAGTGGAGTAAAATTCTCCCACAGAGTTTTATAGAATGAGAATCTGGGTCAGTGTTTTATATTACTGGCCTCTCCTAACAACAAAGTAACATGATACTCCCTCATTGCTGAAACCGAAGACCAGGAAGTTAATAATTTTGTGACAAAGTTTATAATTTTCTTTCCCAGTCATTTTACTCTCTTTGTCTTGTGACTTCTCTCCCCACTTCAATGTTATAGCTAATTGAGATATATTTCTATCAGATGAAGGCTGAATGAATCTTCCCTGGTGAAAATTTTATACATTTATAGCTATTAGTGTCCATTTATTCAATTCCCACTTCACTGGGAATGAATTAGTTATTAGGTTTTCTATATGAATTGGTAACAAAAAGTTCATAAAACTAATCATTTACAGGTCAATGTTTATACAGTTTTTAAAATAAAATCTAGACAATCAGTTTAATTCCCTACTTTGCATCAATTAAGGAAATATTCTTATACTCAGCAATCACTATTAGTCTGTTCTTTAAAATAAAATTAGAATTTCAGCACTATCTGCAAATTCTCTCACATTGAAAGTTAATTACATTGTCATTAAAATGATTTGTTAAAGCTTGAAAATGATGTGTGTTATAGTAAGAAGACAGTCTTTCAAACTCTGGTATCAGTCTGTTTCCATTTTCAAGCAAAACATTGCTTCATTTATTCAAAGTAATTTGGCTAACTAACTGAAATGGCAGGATTCGTTATCCCCACGATTGTATGAGCATATGAAATTGTCCCTTTGGGCCAGGCACGGTGGCTCACGCCTGTAATCCCAACACTTTGGGAGGCCGAGGAGGGTGGATCACCTGAGGTCGGAAGTTCGAGACCAGACTGACCAACATGGAGAAACCCCGTGTCTACTAAAAATACAAAATTAGCCGGGCGTGGTGGTGCATTCCTATAATCCCAGCTACTCGGGAGGCTGAGGCAGGAGAATTGCTTCAACCCTGGAGGCAGAGGTTGCAGTGAGCCAAGATCGTGCCATTGCACTCCAGCCTGGGCAACAAGAGTCCATCTCAAAAAAAAAAAAAAAAAAAAAAGAAAAAGAAAAAGGGAAAGAAATTGTCCCTTTGAGAGTAAATAATTTAACTATTTTCTAAATTTTAGAAACTAGCAAAATCCTCATTTTCACAGTAACATGCATTCTTACTTGAAAAACTCTACTTCCCTTCCAAGTACTTCAAACCTTATTTAAATGTAAATAGTATCCTGAAATATGTTCCTTCTATGTACAATTCTCAAATGGAGACATAAGCAGTTTAATACAAATTTTAAAAAGAAAGAGTCTGATATGCAATTTATTAACTGGAAATTGTGCTAAGTTCATGACCTTCCTGAAACTACTTTACTCCAAATGTATTTTATACAATATAAATAAAATTTTTGGATTCTATAAAAAGGAAAGCAGATGTAATGACTCACCAAGTCGCCAAAAACATAAACATTGTTGTATTCTCAGGCTTTTGGCCAGTTTTTACTTGACTCTGTGAGTCTCAACGGGTTATCAGTAACATTTCAGTAAGGGGTTAGATGCAAAAATAATTGCAGAAGATTTTGCAGTGACTTCCCAGGAAGGGGAACTGTGCCTACCATTTTCAAATAGTGTGTGAATCATTTATATAAAGATGCTAGAATTGTCTTAAAACTTTGAAAGGTTGAAAGTCCCCTTCACTGCCATATTTTCTTCTTGGCTGGGCAATGAAGATATTTGTATTCAATATAAAAATATTCCTAAACTCACATATCAGGTTTTCAAATTATCTAACTTCTTAGTTCTTACAAAAATGGTTTTTAAAAACCCTCATTTTTTCCTTTAAGAGTGTAAATTGTTCTAAAAAGTAAATGCCATAATAAAAATGTCAGCATAACCAGATCAGCTTTCAGCTTTGCCTCTAAAATTTTTTTAAACGCCTTAGCAACATGAGAAAATATTGTGGATTTTCTATATCTCCCTGTTTCTATGATCTGGAACTGAAAATGTTAAGATGAACCACTGCAGACTAGAAACATGGAACATATTTCCATTCCAAAAGGACAGTAACCAAGAGTATATTTTTAAAACATAGAAGTCTACAAACCTGGGTCATCTGGTCATCCCTGCCTTGAGGCATTTCACACAGAATGCAATTTATTCTTTAAATTGAATAACAGCCTCACAAGAGAATAACACTATAAAAATAGACAATACCCCTGCCCTGTAGCACCTCAATATTTCTTGCTGCCAAATAAGAGAAAGTACTCAAAGAGAGAACAGAAACCTATAACCAGAGTGGGAAATAATTCTGAAAGTATGTATTTCTCTACAAATAAGTAACAAGAATACAGAGAGAAAGAAAATCAACTCGACAAACTGCTTCAATAAGGAACATGCAAACTATATGGTCAGCAATAATCTTTAGGACAATAAGCCTACCAGTTTCATATGGAAGGGGAACTGGAGCTCAAGATCTTTAGGACAAGCAGGATATGAACAAATGTTTGAGAATTTACACATTTATTTTCTTATTTTTTATTTTTAAATGGAGAGCTTTGTGGCTTGCAACACTAGAAGAAGCCATTAGCAAGTTATTCACAGGCTCTAGGGGTTAGATTTTGTTTTTAACTAACAAGTGAAAGAGTATTTTCCACTTCATTGGTCATGATGGTATGCTCAGTAATGTTGACCTAAGACTCTACATGTAGAATTAGTGATTATAAAATTTTGTTTTACAGTGACACTATTAACATTAAATAACAAGAGCTAACACTTATTAAATGTGCACCATGGGTTGAGAGGATGCTAGTTTAAGCACTATATTTTTTAGATCATGTGATCCCTTATAAAGTAGTTATTCTTTAACCCATTTTGTACATAAAATAATAAAGTACAGAGAATGTAAGTGATTTACCCAAGTTACACAGCTAGTAATATTAGAGGTGATACTCAAACCCACTTAGGCTAACTCCCAGGTGCACCTGCTTCAACACACCACTGCACAGTTCATTATTCCTTAGAAGCTAGGTGAACTCAAATTGAAGCCTAAAACAGATTCTAGCTATTTATAATTAATTCTCTTTATTGCTTTTCTTTTGTGATCTCTTACATTGTTGTTTCTTCTGCTGTATTTTAAGCTCAGAATACAGCTCTGCCATGTAAAGATTGGACAAATGCTCATTTTAATAGAGGCCATAAAGATACCACTAAATAATCCAACATCTTCCTTTGTCCTGGTCACTTTCTTGCCTGTATTTTGGACAGTCCATCTGGGTCCAGAATCATACCAGTGACTGGTGCAATTATTTGGCCATGGGGCTAGGACCGCGATTCATTCTTGCCATCCCGACTTTCCCAGTCTCCTTGTGGAGTGGATACCAATTAGGGAAAATGACTGAGAAATATAAGAGGCACTCGTTTGACTACATTGCTTACTGCCCTATCATACTAGCCTAATTCTATGACTTTTCAACATGGAAATAGAACAAGAATATTACACCTTATAAAACACTATGCCTGGCCTAACTGGGTGCCCTAGACCTGCCTAAATTTGAAAGATTGGTAGCTACTGAAGCCCAGTTTATCTGTCTTCCCTATTAGCATGTGTTAGTGAGAAATCACATGAGCTAACACAAATTGTGAGTTATGATCATCTTTCTCACATTTTGTGACACTTTTTCCAACCTTGAAAAATATAACAAATAAATTATGAAGCAACGAAGAAAAGAAGGAAAAGATCTTTTGTATTAATGTATGAGTGTGTATACTGCGTTTGTGTCTCTTCAGTGTGGTGGGGGAGGTGTGTGAAGTGAGGGAAAGGTATTACAACAAAGCTATTTAGAAGAACGTGTATTTAGCGAAGAAGGAAATGAAAGGTAATACTAAATCTAACACTCAAGTAGATAAAGCTTAGACCATCTTCACAGGAAATAAATGAATAGTGCTAATAGCTGGATCCAATTTATAAGGCACTAAACGGATATTATAGGAAGAAAGGAGATAATTAATCTTCAGCTAGAACAATGAAAGATCAGCTGTGGTATTATCACAGTGCCACCTTCCAAGACTCTGGAGGTGCCTTGCTTTCCAATATATTAATAAAAGATTCTCCAGAATTAAGACATTTAATTATCTGCAAGGATTCTTTGTATTTTTTTATCTCTGCATGAAGTCACTGATTACTGTATATAAAGTTTTCCTTTATCTACTGCATTGAGACTATAATGGCAATATTAATAGTCTCTGTGTATAGGAATGAAGATATTTGGTCTCAAAATTATTTAACAAAGCTGCAGTTTTCATGATTATTTGATAAATATGTGGTTTCAGATTTATTAAACAAAGCTATGGTTTTTTGATGATTATCAGAGTACTTCATCTATATTTTTAAAATCTTATAATTTATAGCAAATAGCTTTATTCTTCTTTCAGTTGATTCAAATAAAGTTACAATAGTTATATGCAGGAAAAAATGTCCAAAGATAATTTCATTTTGCAGGATATTATTTTAAACATGTATAATATTGGGTATAGACAATAGTTTTGTATAATCTATATAATTTCTACAATATTTACAAGTGCATAAAGCAGGATGAGAGAGTGGAAGGTCACAACATCAGTTCAAGGGCATTCTTTACCTCACAATATTTAATAAGTTTATTTTTAGATACTTTGTAAAAAAAAATCTCTACCATCATAAAAGTGACATCACCATCAATGTGAAATTGGTTGGCCATTTTCCAGCGAACAAATTTTAAAACATGAGTGTCATTGTTGATCTTTTTCCTGCTCCTCTTATACAGACACTTTCCCATTCAGTTTCAAAAGACTGTCTCTAAAGACTCTAATATATTCTGCTCCTTTAGATTACCTTGACCCTGCCCTCTAGTATATTTCGCAAGTATAATTTTATTTTCCTTTTAACTGTCTCTCTAACTTCAATATTTTCTTCTCTGACATATTATTTTACAATAGTCAAGAAGCTTTAACATATGCAGATTGATTATGCCATATTTTTATACAAGAATCTCTCAAGTTTTCCCTTTAACTTAGAGATAAAGCCCAAATTTCTTAGCATAAGTTATGATACTTGGCATGGGGCTTGGACTGCCCGCACTCACCTACCCAGTTGTACCTCCTGTGACATTCTCTTATCTGTAATTTGTTTAAGTGAAGCTACCAAATATTTCCAGAAGTATCCTGTAGATGTTTGCCTTTACTCACACTTCTTATTCATGTAATTTTCTACCCCTCTCAACTGTATTATCCTTGGAAAACTTACACTCTACTTTCAAGACCAAAGTAAAGACAGATGTTCCTTACCTGATTCTTACCACTCTCTTCAGAGTTAGTACCTTATCTGAAATACTTCCATATCTGTATTCTTGTTAAAGGGCCTTATAATTACTTTATGTGCCTGCTTTCTAGCTTTTGCATGCCCCTAAACAAAAGCAGTGTTCAATACATTGTAGGTGCTCAGTTGCATTATATATCACAATGCCTTTCTAGTAGACTAGCATGCCCCAACCACTTGTACACTCAGTTGCCAGAGACCCATTACTCTGTACTCATATGCTTAAGTCTAGCAAGCCCACTGTTTTCACATTCTTCTTCATAACAGCTCTACTACAATCCATATTTTTATTGAATAAAATTAAATGGAGTAATTTTGTGTTAAGAATATTAAAAGAAAATGTTATTGTGATTAATTGTAAGAAGTGGCTGTTAGAAGATGATTCTCCATGAGTCTTTAGCATGTCTGCACATTTTGAAAACAGAGGTGTCTACTGCCCTTTTCTTACAAACTACTTTTTCAAGTATGTTTACATAGAGACAGCCTTGGGAGATAGCGTGTCTCTTCAGAGAAAAAGGTGGATTCATCATCCAGCATTAAAAAAAAAATGCCTTCTTCTACAGCAAAAGTTGGTCAGATTTGCTTGCAGCCCATCATAAAAGATACAGGTTCTCTAAGCTTGGTGTTCTTTACATGTGACATAAATCACCTCTGTGAGATTTTGTTGGGGGGTGGGAGAGGGGAAAGGTGCACCATTGTGAATATGAGGGTCATATTTCCTGCTAAGTGCCCCCTACTGTTCTAACCATTCATGAATGTCTAGAGGCTGAGTGACTGTCAGGAGCTAAGATTGAATTGAGCTACCCCAATAGTGATGTGGTTGTCATTGTCCTCTAGGCAGGGGGAAGGAAGAATGTTATCATGGCATTGGTGCAGTAAGCATCACAGCCCTAGATGAAAGGCAGTGTGGCTGTGGCTGAGTCAAGGATTTCCCAGAAATGAAATAGATGCTGTCAATAATGGTGATCTTGCCATCTGATCTAGTTATTGAGTAGGCCAAAACATTGAAGTATTTTTTAGTTAAGGCATGGGCTCAACTGAAATCAGTTTCAGCTCATTTACAACCAAAGGTAAATGTGCCATGCCTAGTGATGTGACTTCATTTTATCTTTTCGTATGCTCCATCTCTCTCCCCATCTTTACCTTAAATTCAGTTGCTTTGTAGAGAAAGATAATTAGGAGTAGGATGAGGTTTTCCTGTCCTCAAGAAATACCCAAAATCATATGCGCTTGTATAAATACACTGGAAAAATTCAAGGACAGGAGAGACTCAAACTTTATGGCTCTGTTGGACATAAGCACCCAAGTCACTGCCCTACAGAGTCCTACAGGGAAAGGAGATGGCAAAATTCAGCTGCTGCTGCCATTTGGACAGGGTTTACAGTAAGGGAAGAAAACTAATTTGATTTTGAAGACGGAGCCGTTTGGGTCAATTCAATGGACTATTGTTGACTCTCTACATCTGAATGTATGGTAGGATTGATGTATTCTATGTTTCTACTTCTCCATCCCATAAGCACCATAGGGGCTTCTTCCAATCAAGAAAGAGTCACAAGTAGTGGGACAAACTCCCTTGCAATTTTCTACCAGTGATTGGGTCAGAAATTAGCATGCATGCCTATAAAGTAACATCCAAAGCTTTTACTATGTAGAGGATATTCTGATGGTTCGAAAGTTAGAAATCCCATCCCAATAACCCTTACTGTAATGTTTTCACACCACTTCAGCAGGAGTGACTGCTAAATCCTTACAAAAGTATGTAGGATCCTTCAAACCCAATACTTTCTTGAGATTATTTAGGTAGATTCACAATGCTCAATGCCTTTAGAAATCAAACTATTTTTTGGATTCCCCATGACCAAAAAGGAGATAGTGTTTCCTCACTTGAGCATTCTACTTAATTCTTTATGTCAGCTAATCTACAAGTCAGCATCCTCTGGGTGGGGCTTAAACAAGTTGTACTGGAACCTGTCCATCCAGCTACAGAACCCTCTCCACTTCTGCAGTCCCACAACATTAATGTCCTCTTTGATTATGAATCTCTGTGACTACATATTTTGTGTATTATAGACCGAAGCAGAGGAAAGCAGCCTTCACACAGAGGAGCACCTCATGATTCTGGGCTCATTGTCCCTTTGGTACAGCTACTAGGAATTTCTATTTTTAATGCAGCTATGAGCTTGCCACTGAGAACTTGCCCAAAATCAGTGCCCTAACTCACAGAAGCTTTATGATTCTCTGGCCTGTTATTTCCATTTTGAGGTGGGTCAACTTGTACTCAATAAGTAGAGAGGTCAGAAGTGGCCAACAAGCCTCATCTATCAAGTGGAAATGGCAAAGTCAAGAAAGCAGTAGGCTGGGCTCCAGCAATATCTCAGCATTACATTAACAAGTGGCAACTCCCTCTACTTCCTGCAGCAAAGCCACTGACTCATCATGCCCTTTACTCACAGAGTATTCTGTAAAAGCTTAGTCCTGATTCAGTGATGAATTTGGTTCACTCAACTAAACTGAGTCAAGTGATATCCACTAGTGTGCAAAAGCTGCTCAACCTCAGTACCAGCTCTACATAATCAAAGCTGGACATGGTTACTCTGCTTAGTGGGGAGAATTCAAGGCCATTCTTATAGCCCTGGCCAGTACTTTTCTTGAGAGATCTTGACACTTAATTTATATTTATATTTCTACTGACTCTGTGGTTTTTTGTGGCCTATTTGTTCTGCCATTGGGAAAACTACAAGCTGGTAGATTAATGACATCATTCTTGAGGACTACAAACAAGTTTGTAGAAACAAACAGCAGCTACTTATCAAATTACCTGAGTTGCTCAGATAGATTCCTGTGATAAAGGCCCATTATCTGACAAGTCTGACTGAAATCAGATTGCTGATCAAGATGCATTATCCAGATTGCCACAATTTCTGCCTGCATCCATGATCATTCACCATGATAGAAATGCATTCACTATCATAGATTTCACACAAAGTAAAAGATTCTGTATGTATGATGCAGAAGCTACAAATGCCTTTCTGACTCTTGCTAAAAAATTGGCTGTCTTATGGTAAGACGTATTGCACAGGATATTCCTCTCACCTACTTCTGCAGATTCAACTTTATCTCAGAGCTATCAGTGTTGCCTCACCACTGTTAACAGATCTTTATGTTACAGACTTGTTCTTCCAGTATATTCTGGCTACAGCTTTCTGGCTTTTGAAACTAGTGAGTGATTATGACATTAAGCCTGTGGACTTCCCTCGCTTCTGCTACCAACCCTTAGGTGCAATAATTCACTAGAATGATTCATATCTAACTGGAATTTCACATTCTAACATGCAAAAAATATTATATTCACAGCATGGTTTATTACAGGAAAATGATACACACTCAAATCAGCCAAGAGAAGAAGTACATAACATAGAGTCCAAGAAAGTTCCCAATATGGAGCTTCTAGTTGTCCTTTCCATATGTGTATGGACAGTGTAGCTCTTTCAGAATAAATGTTACAGTGTGCATGGTATATTTTTCACCAGGGAAGCTTATCCAAGCCTTGGTGTTCAGAGTTTTTATTGGGGCTTGATCTTATAAACCTGGTTGACCACCCACATGGCTGACCTCAGTCTTCAGCCCCTCAGGGGGTTGACAAATAACACATGACCCAAAGTCCCCACCCTAAATCGTACTGTGGCTCAAAGCCCCCAGGTAAACAAAGATACTTTTATTAGGCAGGACATTCCATGGACTTGAAGATTACCTCTAAGGGACCAAGGGCAAAGGCCAGACCTCTCTTTCCAGATCATTTATACTCAATGGTGTGCCTTTGATTGCAAAAAACATTCAAAGGTTGGTTAGGAGTCAAGATATTCAATGGACCTTCTACACTCCCTGCCATGCCTAAGCATCTGTTATCACTTAGTTTTGGCATAACTTTCTTTAAAATCAACTCAAAACATTATCTGTTTTTAACTTATTTACCCTTTCTGATCCACACACCATAGTCAGGTAGTTTGGTCACTAAATGAGGGTATCCCAGACAGGAATAATCCCCTCTCAGTTACTTCCTGGGTGATAATGATGTAAAAAAGAATAAGGGGTAGCTAGATCTACTTTGAAAATTTGAGATTCTTTCCTGACCAGTTCTGGCCATGATGCTACTTTGTTTTTCCAAAGGAAACCCCGGGTTGGCTTGGTTACCTGTCTCTCTGATGTCAAGAGAGAGACTTGGCTGCCCATCCAAAAGAAGATTCAAACATAATTCATGTCCAGCTACCTGGATCTCTTGTTGGCTTGACATGGTCTTAGAGCATCAGGATAATGACTATTGGTGCTACGCTGCTTACTGGGTTCCTACAGTAACCCATACAGGACAAAGTGGGGTACATATGGGTATCTGAGAGTTTTATAAAAATGCCCTTGCCTTTTTTGCACATGATCCTTTTGGACAAAAGGGAAAAGTTTGAGTAGGGGATGATTGGAAAAAAGATGTGGTTATGGCTACCAGAATAGGCACACTGATTTTTGTGGTGATGAAGGGAAAGCAACAAACTTGGCATTTGAGGATGGAACAGATTTCAGGGAGAATGCGGAAGAGGAAAAATGAACAATCATTTTTTTTCTTCTGTAGAGCCTTTCACATGAAGAAAATATCCCAGTGTAGATCTTCAAAACTTAACTTTATAGGTCAGTTATCCCTCTCCAAATGACTCGACCATGATTTGGCTTCCACTTCTCTTAATTTTCTCAAAATATCTATCGGAAATAGAATTGGTTGGCTGCAACTCCCAAAATACCAGCGGGTGTTTTCCCAGCCATTCAGTGGGTCAGAGAAATGCCACACAGCATGTAGTGTGGGAAAACTGATGGTTCCTCTAAAATAAGGCATACACTTAATTATTCAAACTGAACTTGGAACCCTAAAGCCTACAGTCTAGCCAAGAGACTACATTGAAAATACTTTAAACCTGTGCCCCAAGACTCATGTAGATTCTACATGAGGAGCACCATCAGTTGTAAACAACACTATCTTTCCAGGGGCACGATCAGGATTCAATTTCATGTGGAAGGCAGGCATTAACATGCTTCCCTCCCAAAAGCATGGATGTCTACTTTAGTGGTGGTCATAAGAGACCATCAAGTGTTTAAGGGACCACCACCTCAACCGAGGAGGGCATGCAAATCAGCCTGAACTCACCGCTTAGGGTTGATATAAATGAGAGGAGTGTCCTAGACTTTGTTCTTGCATGACAAGGGGGAAGCTGGGCAATCTTTAGTACATCTTTCTGCACTTTGCTTAATGCCTCAAGCCAAGTGAAAAGGTCAATACAGAAACTTAAAAAGAAACCATTTGGCTTTATAAGGGATACTATAATGGCTTACGAATGAATGGTTAAGGTAAATAGTGCATGTAGGTCCTTCTGCTTGGAGTCTTGTTGGGTATAACCTCAACTGAATGCTGTATGAGACAAACTAAACAGATCTGGTCTCAGTTTCTTTCAGTCAGATTAAGTAGAGTGTTGTACTCTTGGAAATATCTGCCATAGCAAAGACAACGTGGAAACAAGAGATGCAACTATTTGCAGATAATTCTACATAGATATCTCTCACAGCTACACATTTTGTGAGTAAGCACACTAACTAATTTTGTTCTGGACTATTTTCAAGGATGTCTGTAGAGCAAACAGCCTGGGTAGATCTATTGTGTCTCCCTCTGAGATAGTATTAACAAACACTCTAGTATACTATCTCTCTACAGGGCAAAGATTGCACAGGTCTGCTTTAGCTCATTATAAAATATAAGGAGTCTCTAAGCTTGGGGCTCCTCAGCTACATTCTGTGCATGTAATAAACCTAAACCTGAGCCCTATTGCATCTCAGCACTGTAAGAACTGGGGGGGAAGGGCCACTGGTGCATACATCATACTGCTTGTTGCACTATGAGTAAAACGTCCTTTGTCCTGACACAATACCCTCATGTTTTCTGCCAGAATTCATAAAATAATAGCAGGTTAACTCATTAGCTTAAAAGCAGAGTCAAATCTCAGACCCGTATACAATTATTGATAACGGTCAGCATATTGAAAGCAAAGGTGTATTAGCTAGCATGTGGAGTAGGTAGATATCCTGAATAAGGGGGAAAAACCCACATATGATTTCCAAATTTTTATTGTTCATTCATGCACTTTTTACCCCAATGGACAAACTTCCCCTCTCCATTAACAGAGGCAATATAAAATAACACAGTTCTCACTATCAAACCTTCAAATGAGAAAAAATTCATGCACTGTTTTTCTTAATTTGCAATTAATTAAGACAGGCATGCTTTCAGTTCATAGTTGTTATGTGGGAAATTTCTATTTTTTAATCAAATATTAATATACTAAATACAGAGTATTATTTATTTAGGAAAATACTTTGTAGAAATTATCATTAGAGTGGGATTATAAATCTTAGTCTATTGCTTTGCCAAATGAGCTGTACAAAATGTGTGTCTATAATGAATCATTCATACCATTTCAGAAATGCTGGAAAAAGAAATACAACAAGCAGGATGGAGTCCCATGGCAGTTCTATTGAACTTCATGGGTGCTGTATATTTCTGTATTATATACAAATATGTGATCATTTAAATTGTTCTATGTGTGCCTATTTTGAAGGTATAATGTGCCAGTAAGAATGTGGGTAATTAAAGGCTGTTATGCTTCAGATAATCCATATCCATAAAATTATAAAACTTTTGTAATCTGGATCTTTTCCAGAATTGCTGCCAATTTAAAATGTACTTCATCTTTTGGGAATGGATAGCAGGAATATGTGTCCTGTGACATTTGAGTATAAATGCCCAAAGGGGACATGGGCCTTGGGAACAGCTGTTTTTCGGCCTGACTTCTTGCAAATATTAAATCTAATTTTTCCCAATTACAGCCAGCACATATGGATGAAATACTAGTAGGGGCATCTCATTTAAAAATATCAATATAGTTAATATATGTGGGTTCATTTAAAGTTTACAGTCAGAGCAACATGAGGATAAGGATTCAAATTTTCAGTGTCTGCTATTGGCAAACATCCAAGTGAGATAATTCAGTTGGTTGCTGTTTTTATATCAAACAAGTCTTATAACTGATTCTTATTACTCTATAATAGTCAGAAATATTTTACAAATATAATTTAAAGAATATTTCAGATTATAGAAATGATCTGTCCTCATATGCATTCTTATGAAAATATTTGTGTTAATTATTTTAATGAAACTTCAACATTAGAAAATTATTTCACTTCTTATATATCTGCTAAATTTATATATATTCCAAAATGATATTTAAAATCCAAATTTTTAAACACTGTATTAGTTTTAAATTTCTGAAGTACCATTATGCTATCACATTCTAATTAAACATCAGCTTTTTAAAATACGATTCATGAATTTTAAAGTATAAATTCTATGTCACCAAATGTTATTGTATATGTTTGCATTAGACTTTGTAAGGCAAAACTTCATTTGATTAATGAGTATCTCTTTATGACGCCAACAGTTCAATGAGTCCATCATTCTTAACCTGATGACAGATAAGTCTGTTGGATTGTTGAACTTTCTAAAAGAAAAAGAGGAAGAGAGGGAGGGGAAAGAAGGGGGAAAGAGAGAGAGAGAAGGAAGCAAGAAAGGGAAAAAAGGAAGAAAACAAGGAGAAGGGGAGAAGGAAGGGAGAAAAGGAAAAAGGGAAAGAAGGAAGGAAGGAAGAGAGGAAGGAAGGAGAAAAGGAAGGGAGAAAGGAAAGAGGGTAATTAAAGAAATACAAAAATGCTATAAACAGTCATCCACCAAATAGGGGATATTATTTAATATTTATGGTTCACTAAATGGTAACTAGAATAGGATTATAAAAATAATATGCTTTCCATCAGAAGTCATTGATCTAAGCAGAAATATTTAACTTTATGTTTAATTACCCATGCCCACACTTCTGAATGGCATGGAAGTTCAGGTGTACAGATAATAAAGGAAAAAAGAATATACTAAATGAGAACATGTAGAGAATTTGAATGTGTTCCAAAGAAATATTGCCCATGAAAGCCGTGTTTGATTAAAATTTCCTGTTAATCTTTAAAACTAAGAGTATTTATGATCCTGATCTTGACATTCAGACATGGAATAAAGAAAATTATCTGCCCACTCCTTGAAAGAAAACATGTTTTCTTCTCATCTTTTATATCAGAAGAATTCATTTCCTTGGGGATCTGATATTTCTTTGTATCATCACATTACCTAGCAAACATCCTTACATAGAATAAGTATGCATCAAATGCTTGTGTTATAAAGGCATTTTAAAAAAAAAGTGACTTTTTATACATTTTTTTTTTTTTTTTTTTTTTTTTTTTTTTTTTTTGTAGCTGGGGTCCAAACTGCCAGTGCTGGGAGTGTAGTCAAGAACTTATTTTTCCCTTGAGTCTGGGCATAATTCTGGATGTCATCATCAGTCACTATGTGTTGACTAGAAGCATCAGGGTAGTAGTTAAGAGTATGATCCTCATAGCTAGACTGGCCTAAGGCTAAATCCTGCTTTCTCCATTTCTGTGTAGCCTTTTGCAAGTTACTAAAGGTTCCCATGTCTCAGCAGCCTTACTACAGGATTACTGAGATTTAAATGAGTTAATCCACATAAGGCACTCAGAACATTGCCTAAAACATGGAAAGCACTGACAAATGGTAGCCATAATCATCATCATCATCATCATCATTATTTTAGAATTTTTATACCAAACACTGAACTGTGTACGCAAAACCTGAGAAGTATCTATAAGCTTTCTCTCTACTAACAAAAAGAGATAAACTTTCCCCAAAATACAGAAAAGAATCAGTTTCTTGTGCCATAAAAGGATGCAGAAAAGAGGGAGCTTTTTATTTCCCTTTTCTCAAGCAGACAAACCCTTTTGCCTAAACTTAGTAAAACTGACCAGTCAGATATGACCTCCAAAATTTCCCTTGAAAACCTTCCACGCACCATATTCTTCTGCCTATTCCTGGAGATAGTTACTGATTAGTAATCAGTATCCTATTTAATGAGAAAAGATTTCTCACAGCTTTCTATAACATATCTCACTCTACGAAGTCCAACAGAGCTGGGGTCAGGTCAGAAAATAGTTTTCATCATTTTTTCCCAGCTTGAATTCAAGCATATGCCTTCCTACCAGAGGCAAGCTTGACAAGACAGTGATGCACTGCATTTTATTAATTAAATTCCCTTGATAAATGCATTCCTGGCAGAGGCAATATGATGGATATTTATACATGGATATTTATCCTTAATTTTGTGTTTTGACCCATAATGGACACACAGACACACACACACACACACATACACACACACACATCCGTTATCTGATGGCCAAGAGAAGCATATTGCACTCTGTAACCTGACTAGATTATTATTCTCAACCATGTGCTGCCACAGAAAACAGAAAAAAGTTTAGGCTTGCAGAAGCGAAAGACTGATCCATGATGTATTTAAGAAGTAAGTAGCCCTACTACATTAATAGAATTCTAATATACCTCATCCAGGCTTATATGGAACTTGTAACAACAGTATATTCAAGAGAATTTAACTCAAGATATATAAATTGATTGAATGCTGAACTCTACTGCAGTTATTAGGACTAATTTCCCCCTTCTGAATCTTACACTGACATTTACACCATTTTAATAAGAACCCATTATGAGTCTCATTTTAGGGGAAGGGATTCTATTAAGTGAAAGTAACCACATATGTATCCAAGCAAATGCCAAGTAGAACAAGAAACAGATTTTAAATGAAGTTAAAATTCATAACAGTAAAGAATGATGGTAATACCTCATATTTGTCTAATTCTTTTTTTTAACAAAACACTTTCAAATACCCTGTCTCTTTAGTTTTCATAAAACCCTTTGTTAAAGAAAGATATTTATCTGGAGTTCAGGCCTAACATCCTATGGATTTCTATTGCTGTTTGACAGTAGAATCTTATAAGTTGGGATATTATCAAGGCAACTTTTAAGAATAAACCATGAGAATTGAATTAGTCATTTTTAAATGTTCTAGAAAAGTCAGTTGGCATTGGCACTAAAGAACATTACATTCCTACAATTCTTTTCCTTTTAGAAAACACGACTAATTTGCATGACAGGCCAGGTGGTCCATTTGCATAGATAAGACCAAAGAAAATGTGTGCTACACTCTGGAAGGTTGAGGGACACAGGAGGGAAAGGAATAATACAGAGTGTGCCTTTTATTTTTAATCTTTTATTTGCTAGCTCAGGCAAAGTCTAAATGGATCAGTGAGGTCCACAAATCACTTTGTTCATTTTTTCTAACACCTGACATCTTTCAAATAAAAAAGATCATATTTATATTTTAGATATACTTAACAAAGTAAACAATAACAGAACAAAATAATAGAAAAATACTATAGAAAAAATAGTTGAATTTAGAAGTATAAGTGTTTTAACTAATCAGAATTTTTTCTTGATTCTATTATACTTACTTTATTCTTCCATTTAAAACATACTATAAATCAGATTTATACCAGTTGCAGAAATAATACTTATTGTTTGCATAAAAAATTGATGGCAATGAATAGGAAAATACTTCAAGCTTCTTATAATAAAGCTGATACAATTGTTCCACCTTCCTAAAATGGACCCTAGGAAATGATAAGACAAAATGTAATATAAACTGCAATCAAAATTGAAAAATGTAAACTGTAATAGCTATTCACAAAGCATACATTTATATACTATATAAAAAACAACAAAAACCTAAATTACAAAAAATAAGCAATGAGGCAGAACTTTGGAAAGAATTCAAAATAAAACAATTATTTAGAAATGAAGACTAAACTTAAAAAGAATACAAGAGAAATGAACATAATAAGTAATGCCTTATTTTAAGTAGAAGGTCAAAAGAAATGAATAGAGATAAATAGGATTAACAGAAAGTGATGATTCAGTAAGATAGAGAAGATAGAGAAGATTCAAGGAACAAATAATAGGAAATCCTGAAGAAAACAAACCAAGGATATAAGACAAATACTAAAGACTGAGTTCTAAGAAAAATTTTCAGAAACTTTAAAGATAAATTTGAAATTACATACCTCATATGTACATACTGAACATACCTTTTACCTGAGACACCAAGACATATTCTAGGAAAATTACTAGACTTTAAAGAAAAAGAAAAAAGTCTTTGGATATTAAGGTAAAATGAACAAAGGAAAGAAATTCTGGTTCTTTTCAGACTTTTTGGTGCAATGCTTTATGCCAGAAGAAAGGAAGTACCGTATTTATGCTACTCAATGAAAGAAAATTTGAACTGAGGATTGTATATTCAACAAAATTGACTTTCAAACATAAATGTATCCATTCTCTGTCAGGCCTGTGAGCCCAAGCTAAGCCATCATATCCCCTGTGACCTGCACGTACACATCCAGATGGCCGGTTCCTGCCTTAACTGATGACATTATCTTGTGAAATTCCTTCTCCTGGCTCAAAAGCTCCCCAACTGAGCACATTGTGACCCCCACTCCTGCCCGCCACAGAACAACCTCCTTTGACTGTAATTTTCCTTTACCTACCCAAATCTTATAAAACGGCCCCACCCCTATCTCCCTTTGCTGACTCTCTTTTTGGACTCAGCCTGCCTGCACCCAGGTGAAATAAACAGCCCTGTTGCTCACACAAAGCCTGCTTGGTGGTCTCTTCACATGGACGCGAGTGAACGCTATCTGATTTGGATAAAGAAAAAGGAGCATTAACCTTGACTATGCCTTTAGCTTCAGCCACCTTTTTAAGAGGAAATTGCTGGGCAAGTGGGGGAGGGCTAGTCATGGAACAAAACTGTAAGTGGTACCAGGTGGAGGAACGGAGGTTGAGGAAGAATTGGGACCTAGCTTGGCCTGGCGAGGAGGGGAGAGGTCAGATGGGTCTGTAGAGAAGGAAGATTAGAAAGACTCAGTGATGCTTGGGGTTGGGACTGAGGGGACAGGCAGGAGGGAAAGAAGGAAGATTTGGGATGAATCGCATTGGGAACAGAAAGTAGGGAGGGACTGATGTGTAAAAGAATGCCTGGAGGTCAGGCACCTCAGACCACTTGCCCATTTTACGACAAGAATTATTTAGATCTTGTAGGATGGAAGAATTGAAAGTGCCATTTTCTGGCTATTTGGAACCACTGTCGAGTTTGTATTGTGGTCAAGTGGCATTGCAGAAGAACATAGGCATTTAGGTTTTAGGTCAGGTATGAGTTGAAGAGATTTTAGGTTTTTAAGAACGCAGGCTAAGGGAGAAGAAGGGGGAATGGAGGGCGGAAGCTTGCCCATAGTGAAGGAGGCAAGCCCAGAGAAAAGAGAGAGTAAAGACAAGGAGAGAAGGGGTGGGGGGTTCTTGCCCCCCAGAAAAGCAGAGAAGGGGTCTGGGCATGGAAATAAGGGGGTAGGGCGCAGAGATAAGAGGTTGGGGCACAGAAATAAGGGATCGGGGCACAGAGATAAGAGGTTGGGGTGTGGAAATAAGGGATCGGGGGATTCTTGCCCCCCAGAAAAGCAGAGAAGGGGTAGAGACAGGGAGAGAAGGTGTTGGGGTTCTTGCTCCTCCCCCAGAAAAGCAGGACGTGCCCCTAAGGGTGAAAGACCAAGGCAGGCGTCCCTGCGTGGTCAGACACCTCTGAAATGTGGGTGAATAATCAGAGAGGTGTCCCTGCAATGATTAAACACCAAAGGAAGGCTGCCTTCCTGAGTCCATGACCAGCGCCGGAGTTTTGGGTCCACGGATAAAACGTGTCTCCTTTGTCTCTACTAGAAAATGAAAGGAATTGAAATTAAGAGAAGGGAGAGATTGAAGTGTGGCGCCAAGATTGAAAGGAGAAAGTGGTTGAGGGATAGTGAGAGAGGTTGCAGAAGAGAGTAAGAAGAGGCCGCTTACCTGATTTAAAATTGGTGAGATGTTCCTTGGGCTGGTGGGTCTGAGGACCTGAGGTGGTAGTTGGATCTTTCTCATGGAGCAAAATGCAGGAGGATAGGGGATTGATCTCCCAAGGGAGGTCCCCCTATCCGAGTCACGGCACCAAATTTCACCCGTGCCCCTGTAAAGAGACCACCAAACAGGCTTTGTGTGAGCAACAAGGCTGTTTATTTCACCTGGGTGCAGGCGGGCTGACTCTCTTTTCGGACTCAGCCCACCTGCGCCCAGGTGAAATAAACAGCCTTGTTGCTCACACAAAGCCTGTTTGGTGGTATCTTTACATGGACGTGAGTGAAATTCTCAAAATGCAGAAATTTAAGGAACAATGTTTCTTTGAGCTCCTTCTGAGGAATCTACTAATGAACAGCTTCAGTCAACGAAAATAATTAGAGACACTGACTGGTGGTGAACATTATACACTCACATGTAGACTTAAGAGTAGCTAGTGGTTAAAAGAGATGAAGTATAATACATAACAGCTACATGCTCTGACAATGTAGACATAGTATGACTATTAGAAATAGAAAATGAGGACCATGAATACAACAAAAATATTTAACTGTTTTCAGTCAGTATATTGGTGGTGTTAGTATTGTTATTCTAAGCAGTTAAAATATAAAGTGGTGGATGAAACAACTGAATAATTCTATCATCCTCTGAGCCCCTATAATTAATGATACTGAAAAAAACAAATGGAAGAAAGGAAGAAAGGGAAAGTGTAATAGAAAGAGAGAGGGGAAAGGGGAAAAAATTATTCATCTTAGGAGGATAACAGGAAACAAGAAAACAAATTTATTGAGAAAACTAGTATAAATTATCCTTGGCAAACATTCTGGAGAAGTTTCACCCTTGGCATCCTAGGCCTACACCCTAGGCTTAGTCTACTTTCTAGAGGACGTGAACTAAAGCCTCCCTCACTCTTTTTTATTTTTTATTTTTGCTCTGTCACCCAGACTGGAGTGCAGTGGCATGATCTTGGCTCATGGCAGCCTCACCCTTTCAGGCTCTAATGATCCTCCCAGCTCAGTCTCCCAAGTAGCTAGGATTACAGGCATGCACCACCATGCCTGGCTAATTTTTGTTTGTTTGTTTGTTTGTTTGTTTGTTTGTAGAGATGGGGTTTCCCCACATTGCCCAGTCTTCTCTGGAACTCCTGAGCTCAAGCAATTTGCCCACCTCAGCCTCTCATAGTGCTGGGGTTACAGGCATGACCCACTGTAACCAGCTTAAAGCCACTTCTTATTTAGTTCTCACAACAATCCCATAAAATAATTATTATTATCTCTATTTTACAGGTGACAAAAATGAAGCTTCAAGAGGCTAAATTATTTTCATAAACTCTCACTGCTAGTAAACTTAGCTATGTTTTAAATCCAGTTCTTTTCAACTAAAGCTCAGTGATTTTATTATGGCACATATGCACAAAAACACAAAATACAAGAGGAATGAAAAGACTGCTTTCCCAGTTCCTCCAGTAATTTCCACTGACTCAAATTTTTAAATTTGTATTAAGGTGTAAAATACATATGTAAATGTATAGCTCAATAATTTTACAAATTTGGTGCATACATATATATGGCTACATGGATATATATATGGATTACATAAATATATATGTGCAAATATATATATTTGGGGAGAATGTTGACTGTGAGGGGCCATGACAGCCTACTGAGATGCTTAACAGTAATACATCAATAATTACATGGATATATATGGATTACATAAATATACATATATGGATTACATAAATATATATATTCATTTTGTGCATATATATGGCTACATGGATATATATATATATATATATATGGGTTACATAAATATATATATGTGCAAATATATATATTTGGGGAGAATGTTGACTGTGAGGGGCCATGACAGCCTACTGAGATGCTTACAATTTTCAGTACTGCATCAATAATTACATGGAGATATATATATATATATGAATTACATGAATGTACATATATATTAATTACATGAATATACATATATATTAATTACATAAACACGTATATATGAATTACATGAATATACATATATATATATATCTCCATGTAATTATTGATGCAATACTGGAAATTTTAAGCATCTCAGTAGGCTCTCATGGCCCCTCGCAGTCAATATTCTCCCCAAAGCTAACCTAACTTCTCTCAAAAATATACATTTTGATTCTTCATGTGCTTTATAAAAATGGTATTAATTACATGCTCTATTTTGTCTGGGTTATTTTGCTCAACATTGCATCTTTGAGATTCATCCTTGTAGTTGCATCTATGTAGTAGTATCCATGGATTTAGTCGAGTTTGTTATTTTCCATTGATGTATTCTATTGTATGAATATGCCATCATATATTTATCCATTTTTCTGTTGATAGACATTTAAATTGTTTCCATTTGAAACTATTGTGAATAAAGCAGTAATAAACATTCTTTTGTATGAATTTTGATGATCATAAGCACTCACTTTTCTTGGGGACATTCCCATGGTATGGTTTATGGATATTCTCAGCTTTAGTCAAAGCTGTAGAATTTTTATAATCTAAACAATTATCTGTTTGGCCCAAATCACTACAGTCTCTTAAAGGCATTTGACTTGCTTCCCGTTGTAGGAAAACTTCAAACTTCTTACAGGCAAGTAAGAAAAGCCCTGGCTGTACTTTTTGCTGACTACTTTTCCAGGTTTATCTATTGCACTACTGGCGTTAAACTTTACTCACTGAAAAGAGAACTACTTGAAATTCCTTATGCTGTTACCACACTCACATCATTGCTAGCGCTGAGCCTTTCGCCTAGAGAGTTGTTCCCCTCAGTGATCACTTTGTCACATCCTGTTCATCCCTAAAGATGTATTCATGCTTCTTACTATTCTATCATACTGCAAGGTCTTTCAGAATATTCTTTTATTCATCTTTATATTCCTAATCTCCAGCGTAATATCTGATACACTGTAAAATAAATGAACAAATTTTTCTGGGAAACATTCAGAATCAGATAATTTGAAACAAAGATATCTTGCCTAAAATTACAAATATATTGTACCAGCTCTCTCCCCTAATTCTGACCCTAACAACATGACTCATCTCTCAAGATATGATAGAAGATTAAATAAAGAGAAAATTAAATAAAACATTAAATAGACTAAATGTGAATATCTTAAATCTCTAAGATTCATCTATAAGGATATTCAAAGTTTACAATCACTCATTTTGAGCACAAATACAAAATTAAAAATCTTAAATTGCTCTGTACAACTTTCCATGATCTTAATAATTTCAAGATGATGTTCCAAATGGAGCTACCATAACAAAGACTATAAATATTATATTTTCATAATTTAGGATTACGATTTCTGTACATCCATAAAAAATTGATCTGGAACTAGATTGTACATCTGGAAACATTTTGTAAACTGGATTAGAACCTCATGAGAAATCAAAATGCATTACAGACCTAGTCTAAAATTTTAGCTTAATTATACTTCTCATTCCCCATAAGAAGCCATGCTTTAAAATTGGATTGTCATCAAAGGCATATGGTTAACCAAATGTGTGAAGAAATACAAGGTTTCAGAGTAAAACATTAGCAATGTATGTGCAAATGAAAGTGTTGTGTGTGTCTATACCAAAGTAGGCATTTGCTTTAAATAGTTACCACTTCTCTTCCTCATCACAGAACTGTTTCAGTTTTATGGAGTGTTGAGTTTGGGAGCTCAATAGATAAAAATTTGTATTAGCCAAAAAGAACAAAACTTGATACATTAAATCTCTAGTACTTTGCATTGCAGTTTTCATGCCAAAGGTCTGAGGGAAAACCATATCTCTCCTTCTCTGTGTAAGGTTTATGGAAGATATCTCCTTTTTAATTGATTTCAATTATTGCTGCAAGAAAAAAAAATTGATGTCTGGGCAACATGCTTTATTAGCTGATGTTAAACCAACAATTAATTCCATGTGTTGATCCAAGATGAATAAGTAAATTTCTAGAACATCGCCAATGTCAATGATAGCTACTCTCCTTGGGCAAACACCTTCAGTAGAGGAGAACTGAGTAGTTTATTGGAGACATTTCAAATTTTAATCCAAGATTTTGCACATACTAGAAAACTGTAGGGCTGGGCTTGAGAAACAAGAGAAGGAGTAAAAGAACAATTTTGTGCTGCTGCTAAATCCAGTTCTTATTTCCTCTAACCTTACTGCTTCCCTTGTCCAAGGTTTAGGGACCAGAAGGAAAGGGAAAGGATGAAAAGAGAAGCAAAAGAAAAGATAAGGGAGAGAAGGAAAGGAGAGAAAGGGAAGAGAAGAGATGTGGTGAGGGAGGGGAAAGAGAGAGGGATATGGAAGGAGGGAAGGAAGAAATGAAAGAAGGAAGGAAGGAAAGAAGAAAGGAAGGGAGGGAGGGAGGGAGGGAAAGACAAACAGTGGGAAGAAAAGCTGTGAAAAGATTTCTGCTGGATTTCTCCTGAAAAACTACTGAAATTACAACAAAAAATGAATGCATCAGAGGTACAAGCACAAACAACCAATCACAACAGAAACCTGAAAAAAAAAAAAAAACAAAAACCACCAGAGAGACTATAGATTGTTTTAATCTATTCATTATACTCAGGAAAACATTTATATATTTTTTTTCTTTATCCTGTGTTAACTTGAGAAAATCATCACTTGCCACTTGGCCACAGAAGCCATATGCTCATAACAACTTAGGCCACCAATATCTATAAAATAATTTCAGGTTATTGCAAAAATCCTATCAGTGTGAGAAGTGGATTCCAACATACCCAGGCTGATCTTCTGCCCTTCAGTATTCATTTCTTAATGCTGTCTTTCCCCCAAGGCTGGTGGATTACAAACTAAGGAAACTGTCTTCTCTCTTTCTTTCCAAGAATTTAAAAGTGGGTCACTGACCAAAAGAGTGGTCTGATAATAAGGAAGTGCTCTTATCCTTAATGGTCCTCATCTGTAGATGATAAGTAAGGGTTAACAACAGTAGTTCTAGTACCTGAAACTCTCCATCCTGAGCTTCATCCCCTTCTATTCCCAAAATTTACTGAGAGACACAAACTAAAGTTTGACCCTCAGTGTTTTCTAATATATATTATCAGCAGAGTAGCTGATAACCCCACAGGCTAATAAACAGAAGAATAAAAAAATTAAATTATATATAATAATATTATTAAATATATGAAGAAAAATGCTAGCAATATTAAATAGGAATAAGAATTTGAAGAATGAATCAAACATTAGGTACAAAAATGACAATAGTTTAAAGAAAGAAAAAAGATTGAATAAACAGCATGATATACATAATTTAAGAGCAAATTACTAAGCAGGAAATAATATTTAGGCAACCTTCCAGAAGGTATAAAAAATTTAAAATCATATTATGTGTAAATTAAAGAGATATGGAGAGTTCTAGTGCCGGTATCTAGATGATGGGAATCTCTAAAATATAGAAGTTACAAAAGAAAAGAAGAAACATTGAAGATAAATTTTCTAAAATTAGAAAAAGGTGAAAGATGCCAGATTGAAAGGCTTCAGAGTGATAAATAAATCAGATAATAAAAAACTTCACTTTTAGACACATTATTGTGGTATTTAAGAATAGCAAAGATAAGAATTCCAAAGTTTACCAAAAGGAAAGGCAGCTATCATCTACAAAATGATAAAAATCAGCTGACCTTAGACTTCTCTGTAACAAGGTTTGACTGTATTTTAAGGAAATAATGTTATTGTAAAAATTATACATCCAGTTGCCTTCTGATTTAAATATTAAGGAATGCCAAATCCTCTCAGGCATATAAAGCCGCAGATAATTTGCCACCATAAAGCCACCGAGAAAACAATCTTGAAGAAAGTACTAAAATAAGAAGATAAATAAAAGTGGTTGTTGTAAAAATTTTATAAACTCATCATTATCAAATACCTTGACAATATTTACAATCTAGAAGGCTGAACCAAAGGAAGAAAAAAGAGAGTACAACTGTAATCAGCCAGAAATAAATTCTGATAAACAGCCACACTCTGTGAATTGGTCATTACACAGGACAATAAATGAAATCATAGGCTAAACTATTAGAACTATGAAGAAATTGACCAAGGTTTCCTGATATAAATCAAATTGCAAAATTCAATAGAATCTCTTTTTACAAGCAACAAAAAATTAAAAATATGATAGAAATGTGACATTACTTTCACACTATAAATTTCTAGAAATTATTTCAAATATAATGCTCAAAGCTCTGAGGAATTTCAAAACTCTCAGGTCGGGCATAGATGAGCTGAATAACTGAAGTGATATACCATGCCCTTGGGTGACACAACTTAAAAGTTGTCTAAATTAAATTAATCTATAAATTTGGTACAATCCTAATACAGTAGTAATTTTTTAATACATTTACACTAAAATTTGTATGGAAAACAAAGGTCTACAAATAGCAAAGTGTATATTTTAAAAAAGAAAAATTTGACATACCAGATATTAGTTCATACTATACTATAAAGCCCTAGTTAAACAAAATACTGCATTGACAGTATATTATTGGCACAAGAATAGATAGTGGTCTGATATAATACAATAAAGAGCTCAGATAAAAACCCATGAGCAGAAACACACGATAAAGGTGCCAGCACAACCACCAAAGGGCAAATGGCAAATTTTTTAATAAAAGAGTTGGGAAAATTGGCATTATATAGAAAAAAAAAAAAAACAGGACTTCCATCCACATCACATATAAATGTAGACTAAATATATTAAGGATTCAAATGTGTAAAATAAAGTTATGAAGTCAATAATAGAAAATACAGAAGAATAACTTGGGGACAGATAGGTGGGAAATAACTTCTTAAACCCCAAAACAACATACACATACACAAGACACAACTTCTCATACTACACTTAAGGATTTTGTTCAAGAAAGGACCTCATAAATAAAGATCAGAGAAAATGGAAGACTGAAAGTTTTCACTAAAACTATCAAAGGTCTAATACATAGACTATCCTGAGAAAATAAAAAAGGTGAAAACGTAAATCCCAGTTGAAAACTGGGCAAAGTATATGTTCTGTCAAGTTACAGAGGAGATGGTCTACAAAGCCAATTAGCACATAAAAAGATGCTCAGACTTAATCAGAAAGATGCATACTGAAGCAATGAGACATCATTTTATGTCCATAATGACCAAAATTAAAAGCTAGATAACACCAAGCATTGGCAGGCTTGTGGGATCACGAGAACCCTCAGGAACCACAGGTAGAAAGGTGGATGGCCTATACATCAGAAGACGAATTTGTAATACAGTGATAACATCAAGGAACTGTGTAGTTATTGTATGGTGAAGACCCATTACAGTGCACTGTTGGCTAGAAGCAATGGAGTATATTGCTCATAGCCAAAAGGAAAAATTGTAAGAACATACTTATGAATGAAAATGGTAAGGACAATATCTATTCCATTGCTATTTTCATAAATTAAAAATAGACATGTGAAACAGCAATATACATTTTGTAAGAACATAAGAGCAGAAGGATATACAGTATGGTGTCTTTTGTGGAGAAAGGTGGTGAACAATGGGAATAAAGGAAATCCATCAATGACCAAGATACGAGCAGGACTTTGTTCAGACCAGTGCCTAGCATATTATATACACTGAGGAATATGGTGAACTTAACCTTCTTCTATAATTTTTAAAAATAGGAAGAAGAAAAAGTGTAAGACAAAAAAGATCTACAATACTATAAAACTTCAGGGCACAAGGATCATTATGTAACAGAATTTTTAATGATTTAAAAACTTAAAAATGCATATTCTTGAACTATCTAGTCATTCATTACTTGAACAAACACATATTGAGGGCCTATTATATATATATAACAGAAATTTAATAAGAAAAAAATGTACAACAATAAATTAAGATGAATATTTTCATATATTAAACACAGATCATTAATAAAGAAATCTTAATTCTCAATTTGAAAGTACTATTCTTGATTTATTAGGCCATGTGTACTTGTATATAGAAAATGTATGCAGTTTACACCATAATTGTGTCTCAATGCTACATTGTCATTGGACCAAAATTAGCCTTTATAGTCTATCTTGTTTCTTGAAATGTACATAATGCATATCAAGAATCTGCAGTGGAGAAATCCATCTTCAAAATAATCTCCTGATTATCTCTCCATGTCTGGCATTCTGGCCCTTATTAATCATCTCTTATAAATCTGGTCTTTGACACCATAGACAAATACAACTTTATTAGTTGCAAATGTATTTGGCGGCCTCTAAATGGCTTTCTCAAATTGCACTGCTCTCACAGTGCAACATGTTCTTTCATGTTGATTAAAATATGTGAGGGATACAAACAACAACAAAAGAGTAACAGGAAATCCAATCATTCCTTTCATCTTCCCAGTGGGAGCTGGTCACTGCAGCCAGCTTGACATTCTTCAAACAAAACTTCCCTTTTTGTGGCTGAAGAAAGGCTTTGGCAAACACTTATCCTTTGATATGATATGCACTTGACAAAAATCACAGAGCAAATCAAGCCACTGCTTTGAAGAAAATGCTTATTAAAAACCTGAAGCTCTTAAGTGCACTAGGACTTAGTGTGTTGCTAGCAATGTGAGGCCAAATGTGTCTGTGGCATCGATTTAAAGTCAAGTCCAAATGCATGGACTTCAGGGCTGCAGCTGCCATCTCATTCCTTTGTTTAATTGCAAGTATACCTTGAAAAACTCTTTAGTCTTCAAGTATATTCTGGAATATCACTTGTATATTTTATTCCGTGAAACGTAACATTTTATTCTTTAGGTGGAAAGAAATTTGAGAAAATCCTTGTTCTAATTAGCCTTTGCTCAATGTCCCAGAATCTCCAGCCACCTGCCAATTTCTTTTCCAAGTAGAAACTCAGCTTTCGAAGAAGTACACTGAGGTGTCCAGGGTCAAATTGGATTTCTAACATACAGAGTCAAGTTTGGAAATCCTCATACACTTTCAGGTTTCCCCAGGAAACAAATGGCACATTAAAATTGGGATAGCTTGAGGGCAGTTTAATAAAAGGATTTTACAAATGTTTGCGCAAGAGTGGAAAACCCACTAGGTATAAGGTAGTACCCCTGGCCATTTAAGGGGGAAGGTGTTAGTTAGCAGCCCTAAGTCTGCAGAGGAGTGACTGATGGCCAAAATCCAGAGACAGAGGGGCTGGGTAAACAGCAGCCACCCTCAGCAATCATACAGGAAAAGAACAAGGGAATAGACATCCTGAATTCACTCCCTACTTCCCATCTCCTGCTGATATTTCCCACTGTTCTCACCAAATTAGAGGGCAGAAAGAGGGCAAGGGAACCAGGTGACATAGTTTCTACAGATCAGCTTCCCAGGACCAAAGAATGATAGATGTGGATCTGTAGGGTACCCAGAAGACAGCCAACATACAGGCATCATTTCTTCCGCCCAAATCACTCCTAAGGGTAGGTACATTTGTTAGGAGTACCAGCAAAACATCACATAACTTTTCTAAGTTTCAACCTAGGTAGAAGGAAAAACTCAGAACTCCTGGATTTTCTGTGATAAAGCCCTTTTCAGTTCCTAATATGCAAATGTGCTAAATTGAATTTGTAATTAAGTTAAAAATGAACTAAATAGATTCTATTAATGATTTATATCCCCTCAAAATACACCAGTATGTTTGCTTTGAAATAACTACAACAAAGGTACATAAAAATATGGGCAGAAATGTAATTGTAAGTATTCTCTGAAATAGCATAATTAATAGTTTCAACAAAATTTTCTCCTTTTCTATTCAAGAAGTCATCAGCGAAGAGAAAGTGCAGATAGGAAATGTTTTCCCCAGTAGCTCAGCTCCTGCTAATCTCTAGACTTTTCTACTTTGATATCTTCCTGACACTTCAGGTCCAGCCTGTCTACAAAATTGTGCTTCCTCCTCTCTCTTCCCACTCTAAGATTACTAACTCCTGAAATGATGTAGTGTGTGTGTGTATGTGTGTGTGCACATATGTATGTGTCTTCCATGGTAAATATTCAATAGATGTGCTTATTGATTATTGGACACATGCTTTTTTAACATCTACTTTAAGAGGATAATGGAACTTTTCATGAAAACTATAAATAAAAAATACAGCCAAGAAGGCACTAACTCCTTTGGTATCTTCAGATGATCAGTATTTTGCAAGTATGAGTGTCAGGCCTCTGAGCCCAAGCTAAGCCATCATATCCCCTGTGACCTGCACATACACATCCAGATGGCCGGTTCCTGCCTTAACTGATGACATTCCACCACAAAAGAAGTGAAAATGGCCTGTTCCTGCCTTAACTGATGACATTATCTTGTGAAATTCCTTCTCCTGGCTCATCCTGGCTCAAAAGCTCCCCTGCTGAGCACCTTGTGACACCCCCACCCACTCCTGCCCGCCAGAGAACAACCCCCTTTGACTGTAATTTTCCTTTACCTACCCAAATCTTATAAAACGGCCTCACCCCTATCTCCCTTTGCTGACTCTCTTTTCGGACTCAGCCCGCCTGCACCCAGGTGAAATAAACAGCCTTGTTGCTCACACAAAGCCTGTTTGGTGGTTTCTTCACAGGGATGTGCATGAAATTTGGTGCCATGATTCAGACCCCACTGGAAATCGGACTGTTCAACTCACCTGGCAGCCACTCCCAGAGCCCCTGGAACTCTGGCCCAAGGCTCTCTGACTGACTCCTTCCCAGATCTTCTCGGCTTAGCAGCTGAAGACTGACATTGCCCGATCACCTCGGAAGCCTACAGGACCATCACGGATGCTGTGAGTAACTCTCACAGTGGACGGTAAGTCCGTCCCCTTCTTAATCAATATGGAGACTACCCACTCCACATTACCTTCTTTTCAAAGGCCTGTTTCCCTTGCCTCCATAACTGTTGTAGGTACTGACGGCCAGGCTTCTAAACCTCTTAAAACTCTCCAACTCTGGTGCCAACTTAGGCAATACTTTTTTAAGCCCTCCTTTTTAGTTATCCCCACCTGCCCAGTCCCCTTATTCAGCTGAGACACTTTAACTAAATTATCTGCTTCCCTCACTATTCCTGGACTGCAGCCACATCTCATCGCCGCCCTTCTTCCCAATCCAAAGCCTCCTTTCCATCCTCCTCTTGTATCCCCCTACCTTAACCCAGAAGTATGGAATACCTCTACTCCCTCCTTGGCGACCAATCATGCACCCCTTACCATCTCATTAAAACCTAACACCCTTACCCCGCTCAATGCCAATATCCCATCCTGCAGCACACTTTAAAAAGATTAAAGCCTGTTATCACTTGCCTGTTACAGCATGGCCTTTTAAAGCCTGTAAACTCTCCTTAAAATTCCCCCATTTTACCTGTCCAAAAACTGGACAAGTCTCACAGGTTAGTTCAGGATCTGCGCCTTATCAACTAAATTGTTTTGCCTATCCACTCCATAGCGCCAAGCCCATATACTCTCTTATCCTCAATACCTCCCTTTACAATCCATTATTCTGTTCTGGATCTCAAACATGCTTTCTTTACTATTCCTTTGCACCCTTCACCACAGCCTCTCTTCACTTTCACTTGGACTAACCCTGACACCCATCAGGCTCTGCAAATTACCTAGGCTGTACTGCCACAAGGCTTCACAGACAGCCCCCATTACTTCAGTCAAGCCCATATTTCATCCTCATCTGTTACCTATCTCAGCATAATTCTCATAAAAACACAGGTGCTCTCCCTGCTGATCGTGTTAGACTAATCTCCCAAACCTCAATCCCTTCTACAAAACAACTCCTTTCCTTCCTAGGCATGGTTAGTGCAGTCAGAATTCTTACACAAGAACTGAGACCACACCCTGTAGCCTTTCTGTCCAAACAACTTTACCTTACTGCTTTAGCCTAGCCCTCATGTCTGCATGCAGTGGCTGCCACTGCTTTAATAGTTTTAGAAGCCCTAAAAATCACAAACTATGCTCAACTCACTCTCTACAGTTCTCATAACTTCCAAAATCTATTTTCTTCCTCATACCTGATGCATATACTTTCTGCTTCCCAGCTCCTTCAGCTGTACTCACTCTTTGTTGAGTCTCCCACGATTACCATTGTTCCCAGCACGGACTTCAATCTGGCCTCCCACATTATTCTGGATACCACACCTGACCCTCGTGACTGTATCTCTGTGATCCACCTGATGTTCACCCCATTTCCCCATATTTCCTTATTTCCTGTTCCTCACACTGATCACATTTAGTTTATTGATGGCAGTTCCACCAGGCCTAATAGCCACTCACTAGCAAAGGCAGGCTATGCTATAGTACAAGCCACTAGCCCACCTCTTAGAACCTCTCATTTCCTTTCCATCGTAGAAATCTATCCTCAAAGAAATAACTTATCAGTGTTCCATCTGCTATTCTACTACTTCTCAAGGATTATTCAGGCCCCCTCCCTTCCCTACACATCAAGCTCAAGGATTTGCCCCCACCCAGGACTGGCAAATTGACTTTACTCAACATGCCCCAAGTCAGGAAACTAAAATACCTCCTAGTCTAAGTAGACAGTTTCACTGGATAAATAGAGGCCTTTCCCACAAAGTCTAAGAAGGCCACCATGGTCATTTCTTCCCTTCTGCCAGACATAATTCCTTTGTTTGGCCTTCCCACCTCTACACAGTCTGATAGCAGACCAGCCTTTATTAGTCAAATCAGCCAAGCATTTTTTCAGGCTCTTAGTATTCAGTGAAACTTGTATATCCCTTACAGTCCTCAGTCTTCAGGAAAGGTAGAACGGACTAATAGTCTTTTAAAAACACACCTTACCAAGCTCAGCCACCAACTTAAAAAGGACTAGAGAATACTTTTACCACTTTCCCCTCTAAGAATTCAGGCCTGTTCTCAGAATGCTACAAGGTGAACAGGAGCCCATTTGATCTCCTGTATAGATGCTCTTTTTATTAGGCCCCAGTCTCATCCCAGACACCAGATCAACTTGGACTGTGCCCCAAAACTTGTCATCCCTACTATTTTCTGTCTAATCATACTCCTATTCACCATTCTCAACTACTCATACATGCCCTGCTCTTGTTTACACTGCCGGTTTACACTGTTTCTCCAAGCCATCACAGCTGATATCTCCTGCTGCTATCCCCAAACCGCCACTCTTAACTCTTAAAGTAAATAAATAATATTTGCTTGCAAGGCTATGCTGAACCTCCTTCAGCACTCTCTAATTAGATGTCCTAAGTCCTCCCAATTCTTAGTCCTTTAATACCTGTTTTTCTCCTTCTCTTATTCCGTTTAGTTTTTCAGTTCATACAAAACCGTATCCAGGCCATCAGCAATAATTCTACATGACAAATATTTCTTCTAACAACCCCACAATATCATCCCTTACCACAAAATCTTCCTTCAGCTTAATCTTTCCCACTCTAGGTTCCCACACCGCCCCTAATACCCCTCGAAGCAACCCTGAGAAACAACGTCCATTATCTCTCCATACCACACCCAAAAATTTTTCGCCGTCCCAACACTTTACCACTATTTCGTTTTATTTTTCTTATTAATTATAAGAAGACAGGAATGTCAGGCCTCTGAGCTCAAGCTAAGCCATCATATCCCCCGTGACCTGCACATACATATCCAGATGGCTGGTTCCTGCCTTAACTGATGACATTATCTTGTGAAATTCCTTCTCCTGGCTCATCCTGGCTCAAAAGCTCCCCTGCTGAGCACCTTGTGACCCCCTCCCCGCCCCTGCCCGCCAGAGAACAACCCCCTGTGACTGTAATTTTCCTTTACCTACCCAAATCTTATAAAATGGCCTCACCCCTATCTCCCTTTGCTGACTCTTTTCGGACTCAGCCCGCCTGCACCCAGGTGAAATAAACAGCCTTGTTGCTCACACAAAGCCTGTTTGGTGGTCTCTTCACATAGCCACGCGTGAAAATGAGCAACTATCTACAAATGAATCCACTGTACTTAGTAAAAGTAAATTGGAGAATTTAATCTAAAAATTTTTATCAATAAAATTAAAATAAACAACAAAGAAAATGAATAAATAAACATAAATAAATACATTATTAAGCTGTTAAAATCAGTAAAACTAAGAAATATAGGGTTAAATAATTAGGAGGTGTAAAACTGGCATGCACACACACACACACACACAAAATGCTTCAATTAATAGTAGTAAAAAGAACAATAGCCAAGAACCAGGTGTTCATGCCAAATCTGGGACTAATTATCTGCATGACCATGGGCAGTGCTAAAGTACATACGGTATTAATGAAACAAGGTGACCCATGATGACTGTTGAAGTGGGTATTGGTACCTACTATTCTACAGGGTTTATGGACTGCCAGCACTGTCCAAAAATATATAAGGTGAGCCACATGTGTAATTTCAAATCTCTTAGTAAGCAGTTTTAAAAGGTAAAAATAAATAAGTCAAATCCATTTTTAAATTATTTTTATTTAGCTCAATATACCCAAAATATCATTTCGACGTGTGTCAATAGCCAAATTTGAAGTGCTTTGTCATGGCTCATGGTTACCACATTGAACAGCAGAGTTCTATGCTACACGCTACTTTTATGCATGAGGAAAATGTTTTCCAGAATAAAAGAAGAAAGTTGACAAATGTGTTTACCTCTCTGCGTAGCTCAGTTTCCCCATCTATATGTTGAAGAAAATGTACTGGCCATTATTATTAATTATTATTATTAATGACCAGTACAATAATTTATAAGCTTCTTTTAACTCTATTTCTTATTATTTGTTATTATTATAATTGACCAGTACAATAATTTCTAAAGCTCTTTTTAACTTTATTTCTTAGTTTTGTTTTGTTTTTTCCTAAAGTATTTTTTTTTCACTGCTTGGTAGAAAAAATGTATTTTTAAAAGAGAAATTTATTTATGCTCTCAGTGGGATATAACCTGAAAATTACCACTCTATTTATCTAAGGAATATTTGGAGACAAATGACTATTTATTTATAAAATGATTTTTCTTCTGCTCCAAGACCAAATGGCAATATATGAGCTCAGTTTACACTTATACCACTGTTTTGCTCATTGAATTATTCCTTTCACACAATAAGATTTACTGCCAGCCAGTGCTAGACCCTGATGACAGATGGGTGTGCAGGCAGAGGTAGATTTGAAATACAAAGATAAATTATAATACATACTCAGTAAGGGATTTTTTCTTTCTTTTTTTTTTTTTTGTAACAGAGTCTCACTCTGTCACCCAGGCTAGAATTCACTGGTGCGATCTCGGCTCACTGCAACCTCCACCTCTTGGTTTAAGGGATTCTTCTGTCTCAGCCTCCTAAGTAGCTGGGATTCCAGGCACGCATCACCATGCCTGGCTAATTTTTGTATTTTCAGTAGAGATGGAGTTTCACCATGTTGGCCAGGCTGGTCTCAAACTCCTGACTTCAGGTGATCTGCCCTCCTTGGCCTCCCAAAGTGCTGGGATTACATGCATGAGCCAGCCCGCCCAACCCATGAGGGATTTTGGAGAATAGAAAGTAAAATACCTTAGGTATTTTCACCATCCTTTTTTTTGTACTTAATAACTTCACAGATTTGTCAAATTTGTTCATCTGATTTTTTAATTTAATTTTATTTATTTATTTTTTGAGACGGAGTCTCACCGTGTTGCCCAGGCTGGAGTGCAATGGCAGGACCTCAGCTCACTGCAACCTCAGCCTCCTGGGTTCAAACAATTCTCCTGCCTCAGTCTCCCCAGTAGCTGGGATTACAGGCGCCCACCAGCACGCCCAGCTAATTTTTGTATTTTTAGTACAGACAGGGTTTCACCATTTGACCAGGCTGGTCACAAACTCCTGACCTAGTGATCCGCCCACCTCTGCCTCCCAAAGTGCTGGGATTACAGGCGTGAGCCACCGCACCCGGCCCATTTGATTTTTTGTATTGTGTATTGTAGCTATATTTTACAGAGTTTTGGCCTCATACCATCCACAACTTATATTTAAAGTGAAAATTCTTGCAAATAACTGTGTTTTAAAAAAAATTCAGCTCATGACTGACCAAATTGTTTAATTTTAATTTGTTTTAATGGCTTTTATATCTAGTATATCTACTCTGTTCTTGTAGTTCAATAGGCCAAGCTCACCAATAAATATGATTTTTGGCAACATTTTAAAGAAAAGCTATAGGTGCCTCAAAACAAATAAAAGAGATTCCCCATACCAAATAAAACAAATTTGCCTATTTGACCAATTTTAAGAGAACCTGATACATGAAAAATCCAGGCTTACTAAATATCATTTATATTTTATATATGTAAAGGTTATTTGTAATATTTAAAAAGTTAATAAACCAAAAAAATTCCTGCTATCTTTTTCATAAGGAACTATTTCGGTACAATCACATAATAATTTTTTAAATACATTTGCATGAAATTACTTAGGGACCAATTTATTACAATTTATTTATTGATATTATTTTTCCAAAATAAATAGAAACATCCGTACAAATACCTATTGAATTAAGTAATATATACCTGTTGAGAATTTTTTCCCCAATTATACTACAAGCCTGAGATACACATAGGATTAGCAGTTTCTTATCAGTCCTTTGAATGAAAAGTAAGATGTTTTTGTACACTCTATTTACCTTCTAGTTGTTACTTAAAAGGTGTGATTGATCTCCTTTTGTAGCTTTAACAATGTGCTTTTTAAACAAGAGATCAGAGTATGTAAAGTAATTCATAAAATAAACAGCCTAAAATCAGACAAACACAAACACGCGCACACACACACACATACATTTTCTATAAGTTTCTTCAGTATCACTTCCATGGGAGAAAAAATAATTATAGAAACTTTTTGGACAAGCAAAAAATCATTACCATGAATCAATTGTTTTCTTTATGGTTTTCTTCTTTGAATCGGTTTATCTGGTCTTTATTACCTGTGAGCTTCCAGCCGTCTCATTCTACAACATTAATGAAAATAAAGAGCTATTTCCCTTAATGGGACTAAAAATCCATTGGCATTAACAGGAACAGAAGTCTTTCTGCAGTTATGGGAACAAATGTTTATTCTCAGTTACAGGAATTAAGTGTTGTTCCCCTGAATTGTCAGTCCTTTGAAGGAGGGAAGGTAAGAAGAATGTAAATAGAAAAGGAGTAGAATTGTATTTTTACCTGAAGTGCACATTGCTAGTTAATAGTTACAAGAGAGATGTAAATCTAAATGAATTAATTCAACAAGCAACTTTTCCTGCCATCAGTTTATCCTCAAGCACCCCAGTGTTTTATCATACAAGCTCAGCATCTGTGGTGGTTCGTCTGGCAGAAAGTTTTCCTGGAGAACATTTTTTTGATAGAAGCCGAAGGGGAAGCTGAAAATCCAGGATAAGACTTGGAGCTCTTCGCTCTCTTTGTAACAAATTAGGTGACCAAACAGTGGGTTATTTTCAGATCTCGAATGTTCCAGAGGTACCCACTCAAAGGCAGTGGCTCTTTGGATGACATGCAACACTTTTGCAAGAAAATCGAGACCTCTGGCAATATTTAGATTTGTATCATTAGTACCTCAGGAAAAAGCTACTGAACACAGTAACTCTAGATGCAGTACCTACTAAGAACCAATTGTTCCAGCAAGAGGAGTAGGATATCAAATAAGGAGTGACCTTCAAAACCCAATTTTAAGCATAATCCGTTATGGTCCCTAAACTCATGATTAAAAATATATTCAAGATTTTTATTAAATAAACTCATCACTTCTTTAAAACTTTTCTGTACTTTCTCCTATACATGTTCTTCTCCTCAGGCATAAGGTGTACTCATTATTGCCAAGACATCCCTGAACAACTCTCCCCAAAATGCCCCCTGCTCTCTATTCCAGCAAATGGAGTGTCTTGATACTTTAAAGCCAAAAGCAAAATCGACTTCTTCCAAAGGCAATCATGACAGATCTAAGCTACATGGAATCACATATCTAAATTTCTATAGTCTCTTCCACCTATTTGGCACTTAAATACTGCCTTAAAAGTTCAGTTTTATTTATTTCTTTTACACTGTACAGTCAGCACCATAAGGCATTATGCTCTGTTAAATTATCTTTGTACTCTCCGCAACACCTAGTATATAGCCTGGTCTCTATCTGGCATTTAATAGGCATTAAATGGATTTTACAAATAGAGAAAGGGAAGCAGTGAGCAGTAACACAATCCTTTATACTGAAATTATTCATCCATGAAAGATATGAAACTAAAATGTAAATTTCCCTCTTATGAACTTATTTCTCTTTCCAATAACTAATGCTGTTTTCAAATACCACACACATTTTTGTATACATTGTTCAATTCTAGTCCCCACTTACAGAAGTGAGGCTGTTATTGTTGTCACTGATAACTGATGTCATTCATTTTTGATGTGATATAAATAAGACCCCTAAATTGTTATGGCAGAATAAAGGAGGAAAAACAATTGACATGAAAGAAAATTGTTCACCTATTTCTATTTCATATTACAACATCATTAGAGGATAAAGATGCAGGGTAAGTTGCAATAACTAAGTGGTAATGCAATTAAGAAGAAATAGCAACCAAATCCAAGAACTAGAGGAAATAACTGGCATAGCATCTAGTCACTCAACAAATATGTCTTAAGGATTTATTATATACTGGCCAATATGATAAACAATTACAAGATAAAATAAAAACACATATGTATCTCTTAAAGATCTCTAGCAGGAAAGACAATTTTTCATAAATAAATGTACCAGAATATTGAAACCAAGTCATAAAGGAGTTTTAAAGAGCTTTGATGGTGGGCGTGGCTAGCTACATAGGCAGCTTGTTCTCACTGTGTTTCCTCATTTAACACAGCACCCAGCTTTCTGTGGGTACTTAATAACTACCAGTTGGCAAATGGATAAATGCCAGAGGTTGGGAGAAAGAGAAGAGCGTGTTATCTCCCCAGTAGCCCAGCAAGCTTGTGTGGATGGTGTGGGGGCCTTCCTAGCTGTGACAGCTACACAGTGACTCCCAGTGGTCACAAATTGAATCTCATCTTTGATCACAGTCTAATATAGTGTATAATTTAGTACAGTATATTTTATATATATAATAATTTATGCATGTAAGATATCATTAAGTATAATTACTAAAGCCATAGGCCTTCAAAAAACTCTCATGCTCATTCTGTTGAAAAGTGAAAAGGTTTTCTACAAACACAATGATGTGAGCTAAATAAATAATAAGTTCTTTCCAATTCCTAAAGCTGGATTCTATGATTTTAAACTAATTTTCTAACATGACCAATGTAGTGTTAAACTTAACATTAATGAGAACAAACAGAAAAGACTTGTATTCAGAAAACTACCTATTGTTTCTAAGCTAACAGGAATGCCTTTTCTAGTTTAAGACATGAGAATATTTCTCTGAGTTTTGCCTAAAAATTAGAAGGCATTCGTGTGAGACTGCAGTGAGACACTTCTGTCTATGGAGAAAGAAGGCCCTCACTAGAACCCAAAGATGCTAGCAAACTGATATTGGAATTTCCAGCCTCTAGAACGTAAGAAATAAATTTCTGTTACCATAAGCCAAAAAATAATAATAATGATTAGAAGGCATTCTTCTTAGAACAATTATTGGCTATATATGAGCTCCAAATTATTCCAATTACTTATAAACTATGTACATTCTTTTCCATCCTTATAAAGAAAAAGTAGAGTGGGTCGTTCTATTTTTGGCCATTGTTACATGGGCATATCCATTAATGTGTAACATTTATCTGCCAATAAAAGTAACTATGTAGTAGGTCATTCTGGCATACTAGCATTTACCAAGTTCAGTTCAATTAAGAAAACATGATCACTACCGACTATACACCAAACATTGTGCTAAGTACTGTAAAAATAAGGACGGTTAAGATGCCATACCTGCCCAAGAAAAACTTAACGGTGCATGGTGAAGATAGACTTCCATGTCTTCCAGGAGGCAGAGGGAACATGAAAGAAAATAATAGAAACCAGCAGTTAGATACGGCATCATAGTTGCAATGTCACCCTCCTCTATACGTGTCAGACATACCCCAAATCCAGTCATTCCGGGAGCAATTGTCACCTTCAGTCCATTCACAAAGGCTTTGAAAACACCCTGACCATGATCCTGTCGTTGCTATCAGCCATTCTTTTGTTCCTGCATATTAAATTAGATGAAGGCTCTCAACTGACATCAGACAAAGAAATCAGGCAGCTAAGGGAAAAGAACAGTTTGAACTACATACGGAAATCCATGGAGAAATGTCCTGTCAAGAGTATAGCTAGAAAATTCAAGCTGCAAGAAGCTGTATATTACTATGTAAGTGTCCATATCCCCAAATGAAAAAACACTACATGAAATGAGATAACACTGTCCTAAAACCATGATATATATGGACATCTGTTCATGTAGACTGACCCCTAGTGATATAAACTGATTGCTGCAGGGAGAACAAACAAGACTGTTTTTAAAAATGAGATAGATCACCCCTCTTCAAAATGTGGCTTCCAAAACATAAACAATCTAAGTGAGATTTGCAGCCATTATTGTCCTTTCTAGAAACTAAACAAACATAATCTACAACATTTATATGGAAAGAAAAAACAATTTAACAGAAGAACAAATCTACCTAGAATCAATGAAACTATCTCCTTTAAATGACTAGATAGATATATGCTATTCTATGTCACCTCTGCTTGTCACCACCTCTGCGTATCTATAAGGCAGTATTTTTCAATCTTCATATAGGGTTGCAAATGACTTATAACAAAGATTTTTTTCAATTTTCAAAATTTATTTCAGTATGCCACAAAATAATTTCACCTATAATTCTGAAATACTTTCCACAAGTAATTTGTAAGTTTCCAAGTAATGATATTAAAAGATATATCATTAATGTGTTGACTAATTCAGAATAAAATTGACAATGCCAGTTAAAATAAAAAGCAATTTATTTCATATGTATTATTTGCTTCTTTTTAACATAAAACAAAAATTACATATAAAATTCAAAATTATGCTTAAGTTTAGGGACAGATGAGAAAAGAATATGTAAATTGTCTTATACATATAAAACTAGATGTGAATGACCTTTTCTCCTCCAACAATACAGAACATAATTAATTAAGATAATTCTTATTACAATTAAGGAGTATGGAATCAAAAGTCACCTACGTTGGTGAAGTAAGAGATCTCATGTGTATTTTCTCTTTCCTCCTATGTTCTTTCTTCTTTTCTCTCTTGGCCTCCAAAGGAGAAATTGAAAGAGCTCCTATATGTCAGACACTGTTTTCCTTTTTGCTTCTCAGAGAGAACTATTTCTATCTTTTGCTTTTCTGCCATCCACACAAAATAAGTCTAAATTACCTGTAAGGAGGCAGGAGCAGATAATCAGCCAAAGCAGGGTGTGGTGCCTAAAAACTTTCTTGTTGCATATTCTTATCTACTTCTTAAAACAGTTATTGCTAGTCCTATATTAAAGAAAAAGATACCATTACAGCAAATCACAATATATAGGCCATCTGTAAATTGTTCCTCCATGAGGAATAGATACTACAAAGCACTGCAGTTCATATAAATAGTAAAGGAGTCATAATTGTATAAAGTTCACACTACTGAAAATTAAAATCAAAAGAAATTAATTAAAGTATGCAAACCGTTTTCACAATAGCAGTTTTAACTTGAAACAATTCCGTAAACTCGGGATTTCTTGAGACCAATCCATCAAGAAATTTGTAAACAATGTAGCTTCTTTTAAGCTGTTGATATCCTGGCAGAGAAATATCTTTGAAGTTTCTCCTCCTCCTCTACAACTAAAATGCTCAATAACTAAAGAAAACCAATAGCCAAGAAGAGAGAGAGAAGTTTTTCCTTTAGAAAAACTTTAGAGAGGTCAAACCAACAGATGCTTATTCATGGCAATAAATATTTTAACATTCTATTAAAACAGCCCAGATCATTTTAGAAACTCAAGCTATAAGGCTTAGCAGTTCCGTATTCTATTTTATTTTTTTGCATATAATTACGGAATGACTAGTCATAATTCTAGGTAGAATGACTGAAGTTTGTAAGGGCTTGGAAAGTAGGAAACTTGTTTCAGATGTATATTTCCAGAATACAGTTTATAACACACTATCATTTCCAGGCCACTTGTACTAAGTTAAAGTTCACCTTGAGATTTTTTTTTCTTTTTTAGCCATCTGTATTATTCCTAAATAACTCTTATCTTCAAAAGCACTTCAAAATCTATCTTGTTAAAATTCCATGCATATATTTTCTGATTTTTTCCAGTTTTGTTAGGAATTCTTCCCATAAACAACAGAAGCCAGCATGCAAGGTGTGCACTCAACAACTGAAGCTTCTTTCTTACAATGTCTGTTCATCAGAGAAATTTTTTTCTCAGACTTTCTGATCTTTACTTCTTATACCAGTGTTTTGAAAACCTCTGGTCTAGTCCAGTAGTTCTCAGCACACACATTTCTACAAATGAATCTGTAACTCATTTGCAAAAATTGTAAAGTTTGATATTATCAATCAAAGAAGAGTTACACACACAAAAAAAACAAGCACAAATTCTCAAATTAGCACAAAAGTAAAATACTCAGATACAAAAAAAATAACAGTGAAGAGTTAAAAGGAAGAGGAACTATTATATCACATGTCCTAATTGCAAGTCCCACTGCAATCCTTTATTTTCCTTGTTGTATTTTAAAAACATATATTATTTATTTGTATTGAAGTAATGTCAATGATCTATCACAGCAAACAGATGCAGATGGAAAAACAGAAAATGTTCTCCAATTCACACTACAGAATGGACAAAGGGCTTAAGTTTAATATCCACTACTACGTAAATAAGTCTCTTAGGTACCCTTATGTTCTCCAGTTAAAAAAAAATCTTTAATTTCAGCATGTGGAAGACACAGTCACATTGGGCTGTTATTTGTAATAGGTCTTGCCCTCTCTCTTTCCTACAATACACCATAGAGTGATGAGCAAATGTATTCCCCTTACAGTTAAAGAGTTTGGAAATTAAAACTATCTACCCAGAGGTAGATAAGTAAAATCTCACTATATGAAAGCTTTCCAGATGTCTTTACATCCGCTTCTTTCCCTTAAGGCAAAAAGAACCAATGCATAAAACCCTGATATTTCAAATAATTCTCTTTCTGTCTGGCAGTTTTTCCTGCACAAGTCAGGGTCTGTGTTTCATGCTGCTCAGAGCTTTTTTGGCAGACTGATGTTCACAGTCACATGTATACTGTAAGGACTCAAACATTTTGTTTTTTCTAAACTCAACAACTACCAATGAATGTGAACTTAGTTGCTTCGACATGGGAAATCATAACACAGAAATTTCAATTAAGCAAACTCTTTTCAAAACAGTCCCTAAGGCCAGACTCTACAAGTCAGTCAAACATAAATGTCATCTCAATCATTCCAAGTAGGTTGCTAACACATGGAAAAATCTGCAGTAGTCAACTCTCTGTTTAAGCTGGATGACCTATCAAATAATGCTACCTCAATAATGATACTAAAACCTAGTCTCCAAGAATTTGATATGTTTTATCTACTCTCTGCCACTCACATCATAGGTAGGACATACACAGAGTTAATATTCTATACATTTAGGAGAAAGCACTTCAAAATCAGGTGACAACCAAGATGACACAGCAAGGCACTAATGAATCCAGTACCACCTAGTGGAATGAGAAAGTTAATGGGATGTACTAAACAAAAAAGAAGAGAGGATTCAGGAAGAGCCAGCAAACTTGCACAGGTGAATTGGGTTGACATAAGACTGTTATACCTGCTTTTCCACTGAAAAGGGGAAATTTGGGTTTGCCTGAGGAATTTTTCTGGTTATCTCCATAGAACTTCAAGCTTTGGGTCATGAAAAGAACCAATAAGTTTACTTCCATCCTTTATTTCCTCTTCACCAATACTCAGCACAATACATTTTTTAAACTACTTAATAAATATATGCTTTAATTTCATGTGTAATTCATCAGTGATTCTTGGAGACAAAGATACTAGTGATTAGTATGGTTTAACCAATTTTTTATTACTATTATACTTTAAGTTCTAGGGTACATGTGCACAATGTGCAGATTTGATACATAGGTATACATGTGCCATGTTGGTTTGCTGCACCCATTAACTCATCATTTACATTAGGTATTTCTAATGCTATCCCTCCCCCAGCTCCCCACCCTATGACAGGCCCGGTGTGTGATGTTCCCCCCCCTGAGTCCAAGTGTTCTCATTGTTCAGTTCTCATCTATGAGTGAGAACATGTGGTATTTGGTTTTCTGTCCTTGCGACAGTTTGCTGAGAATAATAGTTTCTAGCTTCATCCATGTCCATGCAAAGGAAATGAACTCATCCTTTTTTATGGCTGCGTAAGTATTACATGGTGTGTATGTGCCACATTTTCTTAATCCAGTCTATCATTATTGGACATTTGGGTTGGTTCCAAGTCTTTGCTAATGTGAATAGTGCAACAATAAACATACGTGTGCATGTGTCTTTATAGCAGCATGATTTATAAACCTTTGGGTATATACCTAGTAATGGGATCGCTGGGTCAAATGGTATTTCTAGTTCTAGAACCTTGAGGAATTGCGACACTGTCTTCCACAATGGTTGAACTAGTTTACACTCCCACCAACAGTGTAAAAGCATTCCTATTTCTCCACATCCTCTCCAGCACCTGTTGTTTCCTGACTTTTCAATGATCGACACTCTAACTGGTGTGAGATGGTATCTCATTGTAGTTTCGATTTGCATTTCTGATGACCAGTGATGATGAGCATTTTGTCATGTGTCTCTTGGCTGCATAAATGTCTTCTTTTGAAAAGTGTCTATTCATATCCTTTGCCCACTTTTGGATGGGGTTGCTTTTTTCTTGTAAATTTGTTTGAGTTCTTTGTAGATTCTGGATGAGTAGCTTGCAAAAATTTTCTCCCATTCTGTAGGTTGCCTGTTCACTCTGATGATAGCTTCTTTTGCTGTGCAGAAGCTCTTTAGTTTAATTAGATCCCATTTGTCAATTTTGGCTTTTGTTGTCATTGCTTTTGGTGTTTTAGACATGAAGTCTTTTCCCATGCCTATGTCCTGAATGGTATTGCCCAGGTTTTATTGTAGGATTTTTATGGTCCTAGGTTTTACATTTAAGTCTTTGATCCATCTTGAGTTGATCTTTGTATAAGATGTAAGAAAGGGGTCCAATTTCTGTTTTCTGCATATGGCTAGCCAGTTTTCCCAGCACCATTTATTAAATAGGGAATCCTTTCCCCATTTGTTGTTTTTGTCAGATTTGTCAAAGATCAGATGGTTGTAGATGTGAGGTGTTATTTCTGAGGCTTCTGTTCTGTTCCGTTGGTATGTATCTCTGTTTTGGTACCAGTACCATGCTGTTTTGGTTACTGGAGACTTGTAGTCAGTATCATACTGAATGGGCAAAAACTGGAAGCATTCCCTTTGAAAACTGGCACAACACAGGGATGCCCTCTCTCACCACTCCTATTCAACATAGTGTTGGAAATTATGGCCAGGTCAATCAGGCAAGAGAAAGAAATAAGGGACATTCAATTAGGAAAAGAGGAAGTCAAATTTCCCTGTTTGTAGATGACATGATTTTATATTTAGAAAACCCCATCATCTCAGCCCAAAATCTCCTTAAGTTGACAAGCAACTTCAGCCAAGTCTCAGGATACAAAATCAATGTGAAAAATCACAAGCATTCCTATACACCAATAACAGACAAACAGAGAGCCAAATCATGAATGAAATCCCATTCACAATTGCTTCGAAGAGAATAAAATACCTAGGAATCCAACTTATAAGGGACGTCAAGGACCTCTTCAAGGAGAACTACAAACAACTGCTCAATGAAATAAAAGAGGTTACAAACAAATGGAAGAATATTCCATGCTCATAGATAAAAAGAATCAATATCATGAAAATGGCCATACTGCCTAAGGCAATTTATAGATTCAATGCCATCCCCATCAAGCTACCAATGACTTTCTTCACAGAATTGGAAAAAACTATTTTAAAGTTCATGTGGAACCAAAAAAGAGCCCACATTGCCAAGACAAGCCTAAGCCAAAAGCACAAAGCTGGAGGCATCATGCTACCTGACTTCAAACTATACTACAAGGTTTAACCAATTTTACAGCAAGAAAGGGTATTAGAGCTTACTGTTCTTAATCCTTCCTTTTGTGAAAAGGAAATTGAGACCCAAAAGGGTGACATGAATTTTTCCAAATTATGCAACCAACAGGAGCAAAACTGGGACTAGAACTTAGATCTGCTTACTCCTGGTTTTATGTTCTTTCTACTCTTTCATATGGCCACTTATAAACAATGCCTATTATTTCAAAGTTATTATTTCTTCCACTGTGATGTCTAGTAGTGGAGAGTCAACGAATAATTTAAAATGAACCATTTAGAAACAGAAAAATGTAAACAAACATATTCTGACTTTCTGGGACATTACAGAAATTCATTTCAATATTTAGAGAATTTTGCTAATTAACACCATATCCTTTATTATAAAATATTATTCCTCCTGAGTCTTACATTTAGACAAGATTTATCTTACAGCCACAAAATTTGGTGTTTGAAATAAATTACAGTGTTTATGGAAACTTCTCAGGTTATGCTACTTTTATGTCTTGTAACTTTTATATCTTGTAACTTTTATGTCAGGTAAGAAATTTGAGGCTTTGTTCAAATATTTCCTCTTTCCAAACTGCAGTAAGTTCATTAAATGACTATTACACTGGAACAATGTCCTAAAAATAATATTTTATTTCATTCTAACTAATAAGGCCTGTTAGATATGGAAGTCTATATTGTGTTCTAAACAAAAGCTCTGTCAGCAATTTATTTATCGGATGGTAGAAAGGCTTCAGCACAATTAGTTTTTGGCATTATTTTGACTGAATCAAATTTCTATAAGTTTTTTTTATAATTTCTGTCTTCAGTTCAACCTGTATTAAAACTTTCAAGTGAAAATAATATTTCTAACTCAAACTGGTAGTGTTTGGCCTTGTAATATACATTGAATTTACAAATCACATTTAATTCTTGAGCCTTCTAGGTACATTATAGAAAATTTATTTTGCAAGAAAACTTAGAATTGTTGTTCCAATACAATGAATCTAATGTAAATGTTTCTGGTGAAAATACATATGCACATTTTTAGAGATATTATTGTTTCCCTGGAGCACATTTATTGTAGTCTTTTGAGTCCTAGAAATTTGCAGTGCCTTACATTATAAAGGAAGATGAGACATAACTGTTTTTTTTAACTACTGTATAAAATAGTTTACTGAGCTCTGTGTAAACACACAGTGTCTTTTTGACAGCATATTTTGCTTTTACTGATCGTGAATTTTGCAAACAAAGCCTTTAAGAATAATAGGTTCTTCAGACTGAGCATGGGTTTATTATTTTTCTTAAAGGTTTTGCTATTTGCTGTTTCCACTGAAAAAGCATAAAGACCTAATGAGCAGTTTCTCTTGTATCTTCAGGCTCTTTAAAACAAGAATGAGTTTCCGAAGTGCAAAGAGAGTGAACAAAAAGAGATGAGTGAAAGAGAAACCCGAGAAAGCCTATTTATCCATCTTATGACAAGTTCTTATGAAGTGACCCATTCATGTCAACAAGGGCCTAATGATTGCCAATTCTCATTGAGTGTCAGTTTTAAGAGGACGGAACATAGGATAAATGAAGAGCCTACCATATCAGTAATTTGGGCTGGAGCAAGCCTTTACGTTGAATTAAACCAACTAATCCTATATTAAACTAAGACCATCTCTGTGCAAGCAACTCTGGTAGATATTATAACTAGATATCCATTTATTAAGGAAAATTCCTTAAAAACTCAGAAGAGTTGAAAATAGAGCTCAAATTATAACTATACATTTATCTTTATTGCTTCTTACTTGGACAGCAGATAAAGTTTACAAGAAACAAAACTAAACACCAGTTGTCCTGTGGTGTCCAGAGATTAAGTACATAGACTATTCTTAAAGGTTTATATTTATTTGATTATATTTACTATTTATTTTTATCTTACATTTATTTACTTTATACATTATATATATTTATATTTATATTGTTCCATTGTAAGCCAGTTGTTTAACACATGGTGATTTTTAAAAATAATTGGCATTTTACATATTGCATTTTAGAGTGTTTATAATGAGAATGAATGTCTCTGAATTATGAGTGAGTCTAGCCTCTGATCGACAAGTCATAGCCTGGAAAACATGTGAATGACTAATGAAATTCTACATATGATGTTCTAATTTGCCAAATAGGCGAAAACACTCTGGGATTTCAGGAAACAGAAAATTCCAAAATAAATCATTAATTCAATGTTTTTTCCTTGAATATGGCTTTCTCTAGAAAATATGGCTTTCTCTAGAAAAACATTAATCCAAACTTTTGGAAGTTCCAAATACAGGGCAGATAAATACATTGAATATTGCAAAAGTACATTATTTTTGGATTATTTATTTTAAAATTAAACTGACAAATTACAATTGTATATATTTATGGGGTACAAAGTGGTGTTACGCTTATGAATACAATGTGAAATAATTACACCAAACTAATTAGCATATTCGTGATCTCAAATACTTACTACTGTGGTAAAAACATTTGAAATTGACTCGGCAATTTTGAAATGTACCTTATTTACTATATTTGCCACGTGATGAAACCTATCTATCTCAAAGAAAAAAATTATTCCTCCTGTCTATTTGAGGCTTTGTACCCTTTGACCATTATTTCCCCATTGACTCCATCCGCCAACCCTCGGTAGCCACCATTTTACTCTCTGCTTTTTTTACTTTGATTGTTTTAGATTCCATGTGTAAGTCCGATCATGAATATTTGTCTTTCTGTGCCTGACTTATTTTACTTAGCATAAAGTTCTCCATGTTCATTTTCATTGTAAAGGATTAGTGATCAACCAACGATATGCATGGTCTTTCTCCCAAAGACCTAATGTCCTGAGGGCAGAGGTAAAAATGAGAAATGACAAAAAGTAGGATTTCTACCTAGAGGATCCAAGATAGCTTAAAAAAGAAGGTATTATTTTTATATTTCAAGGTTTTTTTAGTTGATACATAATAATTGTACATATTTATGCGAGACGTGATATTTTCATATATCCATACAATGTGTAATAATCGAATCAAGGTATTAGGATACCCATCACCTCAAACATTTATCATTTCTTTGTGTTGAGAACATTTCAAATCTTCTCTTCTAGGAATTATTTTAACAGAAATTTGACTTAAAGAGTTTCAGACAGGTAATAATTTTGAAAAGAACCTGCAATCACCCATAACAATCAGGTGTGTAAGGAGTATATTCCCAGCATAGAGGGCAGCTGCTGCAGGCTGGTGAAGGGGTGAGGGCACAGCACAAACACATCAGCTCTGTGCCTGGGAGCCAAAAGAGCTGGATGAGTTGGAGATAGATGGAGCTGGCAGATGCAGAAGCTGCAAGTGAGGTTGGGAGATTCATTACAATAAACAAAGAAGTAAATTGAGCAAATTCTGTGTGTGTGTGTGTGTGTGTGTGTGTGTGTGACAAAGAGGATAAAGTGAGTAGATTTCTCACTGTCAGAGAAGAGATTTACAAACATGGGTAGAGAGAAAGAATCCTCAGGAGTGAAATTTAAATAAGAGGTATCAGTATGAATTATTTGTGTGCAAATACTCAGCTAGACATAGGACTATATAGAGAGACAGGTATATGTAGGTGTACGAATATAGACAGTTATGTCTCTGTAGGTGTATGACTATAGAGAAATATGTATATGTAGGTGTATGAATATATGTACATGTATTTCCCATTCTGTTTTCTTAGAAGTCTTTGAAGCAATGACATCCCAATAGCAATGAATACATCGAGGACCCAGATCTTGGTGACTGGATACCATCCTCCATTAATAGGAGTCAGAAATTCTTAGAAAAATAGCTAATTCCAGGGCTGGAGTGAGGCAAAACCAAGATGAGCCTGAAACATCTTGTGCCTGATAATAAGAAAATGCAAATGGACAGAGGCATCAGCTTTCAGGGGCCAAACCTGTGACAATTTGCATCAAAATAATGAGAGAAATGAATTACCGGTCAATTGAAAAAAATAGGAATTTATAAATCTACACTAGCATAAACAAATAATAAATAAATGAATGAACAAATAAGAAGGAAAAACTCTCCCTTACAATAGAATGACAACCAATTCATGAAGACAGAATGATAAAAATGAAAAATTACCCATTTGACAGTCATTGCAGACTGGCAGCTGGTTCAGGTGAAAGTCATCAAGGGAGGTTAAGGCTGGTTGGAGGCTCAATAAGTACAAGAGTAGTGCACTATTATAATTTCCTCACATAGAAAATTAATTAATTACAAAGGGTTTTGCTCTTAAGTCCTGATTGAATGAGGTCCATCCACATTACCAAGGGCAAGCTCCTTTTTTAGTCAACTGATCATAATAATAGTCACATCTAAATAATGCCTTCACAGCAACTGGACTAGTGTTTGACAAAAAAAGAAAAAGAAAAACAAAAACAAAAAAATAGGCACCATAGTCCAGCCAAATTTACACATAAAATTGTATCACACTCAGTATCGTCTAGAAACTTTTAAAATTCTTAGCAAATTATTTTCAAAAAGAACATATGAAAACATGAAGATAGCCATTTAGAAAGTCCATATCCAAAGTGTTGCACATCTTTCTAAAACATACATATATATATATATATATATATATATATATATATATATATATATATATATATGCAAAACTCCAAAACATATCCAAAATTATGCCCAGGAGTCTATTACATATTTATAGAATTTAGTCAAATATATATGTAATGATTGGGTTTAACTACCCTTTTCCTAACTTTTTAACCCTAGAAGATTTAAAAGAAGTCTTTTTTTAAGAGTAAGTTAGTTGGGAAGAAGGAGAGAAATTTGCCCAAAAAAGGTCCAGAAAGGCAAAAGAAAAAGATAAAACACAGGCAAAATAAAGGAGATATTTTGTATTTAAATATATACAAATAGTGACTCCAGCTAAATTAAAAAAATATTAAGATAGCATAACTAGTTAGAGGTAATTTGGTATACATCATCATGGACAATTTGGGTTTGTCCAGAGTCATACTGCTTAAAAAGAAATACCAACTTTGTAAGCAGTAACAGAAATAGACTCTGAATAAACTTCAGCGCATGGTACAATTCTAAAAGATCATATGTGTAGAAAAATTGGAGATCTAAACATATCATAAATCTAGGGAAGTTCCCAAAACAGACATAAATTCTCTGCATTAAAAGCACAAACACAAGTCTCTACACATTGCAAGCCTCTCTCTCCTTCCTCTTGTTCTCCCACTAACCCTGTTTATCTCTGCCATACATGCATTCATTTTAAGTTAATGAGGTTGGAAAGAAATCATACAGTGAGCATTTGAGGGTCAAAAGGCAGGAAGGTTCAGATTAATTCACCATGAAGATCAGTCACATCTGTCCACAGCCTTGGCACCTTTCGTTCTTACATATAGAAAACTATCATTATAATTTCTACAAACTAATTGGGTTGGCTTAATCCTAGAAAGCAGCTCTTGTTTCTTTAAGTAGGTTAAAGTGGTTGAAATTTTAAGCTTTTATAGAATAATTGGAATATTTTACTTGTGAAAGTGGCTTCTCTAGAAGGCTCATATAATTATATCTTACTAGTAAAAATGTAAAAATGTAAAGTCTCTTGAGCTTACACTTCAGAATTTAACTTTGAAAGCCAGGACTTAAAGTCAGAAAATATTCCTTATAAATTAGTAACAATTCTGAGAGAAATTATAAACAAGAGACAAATTAGATATTGAGCATAAATGGAAGCATAGCTCAATACCTCTGTGGTTTGTCTTCCTGATGGTGGTTGTAAGATTGAGTGCACACTTTATTAAGTCCTGCAGAGTTTAAAATAGCATGCACCTAACTGTTCAATAGCAGTTTTCTTATAACACTGGTAGGTTGTAAATAACTAAGATAGTACCATCCTAGATAATAATGTTGTTCAAAATAGGCTCATCATCTGACTTCCTTCAACTCATTTAGTTTGATCATGTAAAATAGGCTGGATGTGTAAGTAATTTTTTTTTCTAATTATACTTTAAGTTCTAGGGTACATGTGCACAACGTGCAGGTTTGTTACGTATGTTTACTTGTGCCATGTTGGTGTGCTGCACACATTAACTCATCATTTACATTAGGTATATCTTCTAATGCTATCCCTCCCCTCTCCCCCACCCCACAACAGGCCCCGGTGGGTGATATTCCCATTCCTGTGTCCACGTGTTCTCTTTGTTCAGTTCCCACCTATGAGTGAGAACATGTGGTGTTTGGTTTTTTGCCCTTGTGATAGTTTGCTGAGAATGATGGTTTCCAGCTTCATCCATGTCCCTACAAAGGACTTGAACTCATCATTTTTTATGGCTACGTAGTATTCCATGGTGTATATGTGCCACATTTTCTTAATCCAGTCTATCATTGTTGGATATTTCAGTTGGTTCCAAGTCTTTGCTATTGTGAAAAGTGCCACAATAAACATACGTGTGCATGTGTCTTTATAGCAGCATGATTTAAAATCCTCTGGGTATATACCCAGTAGTGGGATGACTGGGTCAAATGGTATTTCTAGTTCTAGATCCTGGAGGAATTGCCACACTGTCTTCCACAATGGTTGAAATAGTTTACAGTCCCACCAACAGTGTAAAAGTGTTCCTATTTCTCCATATCCTCTCCAGCACCTGTTGTTTCCTGACTTTTTAATGATCATCATTCTAACTGGTGTGAGATGGTATCTCATTGTGGTTTTGATTTGCAATTCTCTGATGGCCAGTGATGATGAACATTTTTTCATGTGTCTGTTGGCTGCATAAACGTCTTCTTTTGAGAAATGACTGTTCATATCCTTTGCCCACTTGTTGATGGGGTTGTTTGCTTTTTCTTGTATATTTGTTAGAGTTCTTTGTGATTTCTGGATATTAGCCTTTTGTCAGATGAATAGACTGCAAAAATTTTCTCCCATTCCGTAAGTTGTCTGTTCACTTTCATGGTAGTTTCTTTTGCTGTGCAGAAGCTCTTTAGTTTAATTAGATCCCATTTGTCAATTTTGGCTTTTGTTGCCATTCCTTTTGGTGTTTTAGACATGAAGTCCTTGCTCATGCCTATGTCCTGAATGGTATTGCTGAGGTTTTCTTCTAGGGTTTTTATGGTTTTAGGTCTAAGACTTAAGTCTTTAATCCATCTTGAATTAATTTTTGTATAAGGTTTAAGGAATGGATCCAGTTTCAGCTTTCTACATATGGCTAGCCAGTTTTCCCAGCACCATTTGTTAAATAGGGAATCGTTTCCCCATTTCTTGTTTTTGTCAGGTTTGTCAAAGATCAGATAGTTGTAGACGTGTGATATTATTTCTGAGGGCTCTGTTCTGTTCCATTGGTCTGCATCTCTGTTTTAGTACCAGTACCATGCTGTTTTGGTTACTGTAGCCTTGTAGTATAGTTTGAAGTCAGGTAGTGTGATGCCTCCAGCTTTGTGCTTTTGGGGTAAGATTGACTTGGCAATGCAGGCTCTTTTTTGGTTCCATATGAACTTTAAAGTAGTTTTTTCCAAGTCTGTGAAGAAAGTCATTGGTAGCTTGATGGGGATGGCATTGAATCTATAAATTGCCTTGGGCAGTATGGCCATTTTCAAGATATTGATTCTTCCTATTCATGAGCATGGAATGTTCTTCCATTTGTTTGTAACCTCTTTTATTTCATTGAGCAGTAGTTTGTAGTTCTCCTTGAAGAGGTCCTTCACCTCCCTTGTAAGTTGGATTCCAGGTATTTTATTCTCTTTGAAGCAATTGTGAATGGGAGTTCACTCATGATTTGGCTCTCTGTCTGTTATTGGTGTATAAGAATGCTTGTGATTTTTGCACATTGATTTTGTATCCTGAGACTTTGCTGAAGTTGCTTATCAGCTTAAGGAGATTTTGGGCTGAGTTGATCGGGTTTTCTAGATATACAATCATGTCATCTGCAAACAGGGACAATTTGACCTCCTCTTTTCCTAACTGAATGCCCCTTATTTCTTTCTCTTGCCTAATTGCCCTGGCCAGAACTTCCAACACTATGTTGAATAGGAGTGGTGAGAGAGGGCATCCCTGTGTTGTGCCAGTTTTCAAAGGGAATGCTTCCAGTTTTTGCCCATTCAGTATGATATTGGCTGTGGGTTTGTCATAAATAGCTCTTACTATTTTTAGATACGTCCCATCGATACCTAATTTATTGAGAGTTTTTATCAGGAAGGGGCTGTTGAATTTTGTCAAAAGCCTTTTCTGCATCTATTGAGATAATCATGTGGTTTTTGTCTTTGGTTCTGTTTATATGCTGGATTATGTTTATTGATTTGCTTATGTGGAACCAGCCTTGTGTCGCAGGGATGAAGCACACTTGATCATGGTGGATAAGCTTTTTGATGTGCTGCTGGATTTGGTTTGCCAGTATTTTATTGAGGATTTTTGCATCGATGTTCATCCGGGATATTGGTCTAAAATTCTCTTTTTTTGTTGTGTCTCTGCCAGTCTTTGGTATCAGGATGATGCTGGCCCCATAAAATGAGTTAGGGAGGATTCCCTCTTTTTCTATTGATTGGAATAGTTTCAGAAGGAATGGTATCAGCTCCTCCTTGTACCTCTGGTAGAATTCGGCTGTGAATCCATCTGATCCTGGACTTTTTTTGTTGGTAAGCTATTAATTATTGCCTCAATTTCAGAGCCTGTTATTGGTCTATTCAGAGATTCAATTTCTTCCTGGTTTAGTCTTGGGAGGGTGTGTGTGTCGAGGAATTTATCCATTTCTTCTAGATTTTCTAGTTTTTTTTACGTAGCGGTGTTTATAGTATTCTCTGATGGGAGTTTGTATTTCTGTGGGATTGGTGGTGATATCCCCTTTATCATTTTTTATTGTGTCTGTTTGATTCTTCCCTCTTTTCTTTTTTATTAGTCTTGCTAGCGGTCTATCTATTTTGTTGATCTTTTCAAAAAATCAGCTCCTGGATTCATTGATTTTTTGAAGGGTTTTTATGTCTCTATCTCCTTCAGTTCTGCTCTGATCTTAGTTATTTCTTGCTTTCTTCTAGCTTTTGAATGTGTTTGCTCTTGCTTCTCTAGTTCTTTTAATTGTGATGTTAGGGTGTTAATTTCAGATCTTTCCTGCTTTCTGTTGTGGGCATTTAGTGCTATAAATTTCCCTCTACACACTGCTTTAAATGTGTCCTAGAGATTCTGATATGTTGTGTCCTTGTTCTCATTGGTTTCAAAGAAAATCTTTATTTCTGCCTTCATTTTGTTATGTACCCAGTAGTCATTCAGGAGCAGATTGTTCAATTTCCATGTAGTTGAGTGGTTTTGAGTGAGTTTCTTAATCCTGAGTTCTAGTTTGATTGCACTGTGGGCTGAGGGACAGTTTGTTATAATTTCTGTTCTTTTACATTTGCTGAGGAGTGCTTTACTTCCAACTATGTCATCAATTTTGGAATAAGTGCTATGTGTTGCTGTGAAGAATATATATTCTGTTGATTTGGGGTGGAGAGTTCTGTAGATGTCTGTTAGGTCCGCATGGTGCAGAGCTGAGTTCAATTCCTGGATATCCTTGTCAACTTTCTGTCTCATGGATCTGTGTAATGTTGACAGTGGGGTGTTAAAGTCTCCCATTATTATTCTGTGGGAGTCTAAGTCTCTTTGTAGGTCTCTAAGGACTTGCTTTATGAATCTCGCTGCTCCTCTATTGGGTGCATATATATTTAGGATATTTAGCTCTTGTTGTTGAATTATTCCTTATTCCTTTTAACATTATGTAATGGCCTTCTTTGTCTCTTTTGATCTTTGTTGGTTTAAAGTCTATTTTATCAGATACTAGGGTTGCAACCCCTGCATTTTTTTCTTTTCCATTTGCTTGGTAGATCCTCCTCCATCCCTTTATTTTGAGCCTAGGTGTCTCTCTGCACGTGAGATGAGTTTCCTGAATACAGCACACTGATGGGCCTTGACTCTTTATCCAGTTTGCCAGTCTGTGTCTTTTAATTGGAGCATTTAGCCCATTTACATTTAAGGTTAATATTGTTATGTGTGAATTTGATCCTGTCATTATGATGTTAGCTGGTTATTTTCCTCATTAGTTGATGCAGTTTCTTCCTAGCCTCGATGATCTTTACAATTTGACATGTTTTTGCAGTGGCTGCTACCGTTTTTTCCTTCCCATGTTTAGTGCTTCCTTCATGAGCTCTTGTAGGGCAGGCCTGGTGGTAACAAAATATCTCAGCATTTGTTTGTCTGTAAAGGATTTTATTTCTCCTTCACTTCTGAAGCTTAGTTTGGCTGGATATGAAATTCTGAGTTGAAAATTATTTTCTTTAAGAATGTTGAATATTGGCCCCCACTCTCTTCTGGCTTGTAGACTTTCTGCTGAGTGATCAGCTATTAGTCTGATGGGCTTCCCTTTTTGGGTAACCCAACCTTTCTCTCTGGATGCCCTTAACATTTTTTCCTTCATTTCAACTTTGGTGAATCTGACAATTATGTGTCTTGGAGTTGCTCTTCTGGAGGAGTATCTTTGTGGCATTCTCTGTATTTCCTGAATTTGAATGTTGGCCTGCCTTGCTAGGTTGGGGAAGTTCTCCTGGATCATATCCTGCAGAGTGTTTTCCAACGTGGTTTCATTCTCCCCATCACTTATCAGTGATGTACACCAATCAGACGTAGATTTGGTCTTTTCACATGGTCCCATATTTCTTGGAGGCTTTGTTCATTTCTTTTTATTCTTTTTTCTCTAAACTTCTCTTCTCACTTCATTTCATTCATTTGATCTTCAATCACTGATACCCTTTCTTCCAGCTGATCGAATCGGCTACTGAAGCTTGTGCATTCATCGCAGTTCTCGTGCCCTGGTTCTCCGCTCCATCAGATCATTTAAGGCCTTCTCTACATTGGTTATTCTACTTAGCCATTTGTCTAATCTTTTTTCAAGGTTTTTAACTTCTTTGCAATGGGTTCTAACTTCCTCCTTTAGCTTGGAGTAGTTTGATCATCTGAAACCTTCTTCTCTCAACTCGTCAAAGTCATTCTCTGTCCAGCTTTGTTCCGTTGCTGGGAGGAACTGCATTCCTTTGGAGGAGGAGACGTGCTCTGATTTTTAGTATTTTCAGTTTTTCTCCTTTGTTTTTTCCCTATCTTTGTGGTTTTATCTATCTTTGGTCTTTGATGATGGTGACGTACACATGGGGTTTTGGTGTGGATGTCCTTTCTGTTTGTCAGTTTTTCTTCTAACAGTCAGAACCCTCAGCTGCAGGTCTGTTGGAGTTTGCTGGAGGTCCACTCCAGATCCTGTTTGCTTTGGTATCAGCAGCGCAGGCTGCAAAACAGCGAGTATTGCTGAACAGCAAGTGTTGCTGTCTGATCATTCCTCTGGAAGTTTCATCTCAGAGGGGTACCTGGACATGTGAGGTGTCAGTCTGCCCCTACTAGGGGTTGCCTCCCAGTTAGGCTACTCGGGGGTCAGGGACCGACCTGAGGAGGCAGTCTGTCCATTCTCAGATCTCAAACTCTGTGCTGGGAGAACCACTACTTTCTTCAAAGCTGTCAGACAGGGACAGTAAGTCTGCAGAGGTTTCTGCTGCCTTTTGTTTGGCTATGCCCTGTCCCCAGAGGTGGAGTCTACAGAGGCAGGCAGGCCTCCTTGAGCTGTGGTGGGCTCCACCCATTTCAAGCTTCCTGGCTGCTTTGTTTACCTACTCAAGCCTCAGCAATGGCAGGCGCCCCTCCCCCAGGCTTGCTTCCACCTTGCAGTTCGATCTCAAACTGCTGTGCTAGCAATGAGCGAATCTTTGTGGGTGTGGGACCCTCCAAGCCAGTCACAGGATATAATCTCCTGGTGTGCCGTTTGCTAAAACCAATGGAAAAGCACAGATTTAGGGTGGGAGTCACCTGATTTTCCAGGTGCCATCTGTCACCGTGTTGCTTGGCTAGGAAAGGGAATTCCCTGACCCCTTGCACTTCCTGGGTGAGGCGATGCATCGCCCTGCTTTGACTCATGCTTGGTGTGCTGCACCTGCTGCCCTGCACCCACTGTCTGACAAGCCCCAGTGAGATGAACCCAGTACCTCAGTTGGAAATGCAGAAATCACCCATCTTCTGTGTCACTCATGCTGGAAGCTGTAGACTGGAGCTGTTCCTATTCGGCCATCTTGGAACCCCCGTGTAAGTAATGTTGACCTAGTTTTACAAATACAAAAACTAAGATTTAGTAAAGTTAAGTTCCTTGACTTACAAACCTAGCAGGTACAAGAGATGAGGCCAGGATTCTGACTCCTGAGTCGAGAATGTTGTTCTTCATCCTACCCTAGTTGCCTTTTGTTTTATTTTAAGCTGACATTTAAAAAGAGCTTACTATGTGCCAATGCTCTAAATGTATTATCCATGTAATTATCATATCAGTTCTTTGAGGGAGGTTATATTCTACAGATGAGACTGAGGCCCAGAGTGGTTAAGTCCTTTTCCTTATGGACATTCAGTTTGCTAATGTGCAAGCTTAGCATGGCACCCAGTCACATTTCAGAGTCCATGTTCTCACCCACTTCTCTCTACTGTACCAGAAACTCTAATCTGGGATCATAGTTACCTAGTCAAGATTAGAGGCTCATTCTCAGAAAATCATTTCCTGAAAAAGCACAGACTCAAGAGAAATTGTTGCACAAGCTGAGAGATGTAAAGGGAAAGGGAGCTGACATTTTTGGCCACATTCTTGGGCTAGACATGGGGCTTTTACATGTATTCCTTTGACTCATTAAGTGTTAACCATTGTGATGGTTAATTTTACATGTCACCTAGACTGGACCATGGGATGCTCAAATATCTTGTTAAACATTATGTCTAGGTGTGTCTGTGAGGGTGTTTACAGAAGAGATTAGCATTTGAATTGGTGGACTGAGTAAAGAAAGTGGCCCTTTTCAATGTGGTGGACATCAACCAATCAGTTGAGGGCCTGAATAGAACAAAAAGTGGGAAGAAGGTTGAACTTGGCCTGTATGCTTGAGCTGCTGCCTCAATTTTCTCCTGCAAGTGGTGCTTCTGGTTCTCAGGTCTCCAGATCCTGACTGGAAGCTATACTATTGGCTCTCAGGCTCTTAGACCTTTGAACTACACCACTGGCTTTCATGGATATCCAAAATCATAGCACTTCTCAACTTTTATAATTATACAAGCCAATACCTTATAATACGTCTCTTCATATATATATATATTCCTAAATATACACATATGTCTAGATAGTTATATAAATTAGGATATATATATATATATATATCCTAGGATATATATATATATATCCTAGGATATATATATATATCCTATTAGTTCTGCCTCTCTGGGAAACCCTGGCTAACACACCTATTAAAAGCATTGTATTGCATTGTATTCTATCAAATCATCATATCTACTCTATAGGATAGATAGTTTTCCATTAAAATTAAAAAAAACTGAGGCAGAGAGTTCTTAAATAATTTGTCTGGATTGAAAACCAGTTAAATCTGAGACTAAAATTATAACATTTTTACTGCAGTGCTTCTGCCTAAGACTCTATTTAACTCAGTTGAGTAAATGTAGATGTGACAATGTCTGGCAATTCTGGGCTATGTGTAATTCACACAGATAGCTCTGAATATTGCAGCACAATTTGAGGTAGGCCTCCATGTATTCCATAGCATTTTTTTGAATAGTCAACTTTATCCAGAAATTCTTCCCTTGGCCTTGTCCACAACTTTAATGTAGGCTTTCAGTCAATGATTCTTAGTCCTTGGAATTCACAAGTTATTTCCTTTGCAGCGTTATGCTAGATATCCTTGCATGTCCTACACACATGAATTTGCATGTTCTGTTTTTGCCTATGACCTCTTCTAATGCCTGAAACTCCAGCTCTGACAATAAGTGGAAGTGCTTTAATAAAGAAAGATACCTGGTACAAGCCATCCTGATTCAAGGCATCTTTCTTTATTAAATAAATAGGCCTTGCCAGAGTCCTCCCAACAACTAGTCATAGTCTGTCTATAGGGTCCCAAGTCACCTGGTAGGACAGATTCTAATAAAAGAGCTGGCCATCCCTCACTTAGAGTCTCTCCCAGTACATAGCGAGATACTCGGATAATAGCATTACAATTATATAGCATTCATCTTTGATGTTAACACCTTTCACTGAATAGGTTTTCAATAAACATATTGATCCAATGTAAAGTAATCCCAAAAGTGCCAAATGAGGATTGCAATAACTTCACAAGACTATTGGTTCTCCTCAATAAGCATAATTGATTCTTCTTATAAAATTTATATTTATCATCAAGGGATCAGTGTGCATGTGAGAAATAGATTTCTAATTATTGCACAGAGCAATTAAATATCCAAACCTGTGATGAATCAGGCCTACGAGTGGTCTTAGTATGTGAAATAGTAGTGTTTCCTGATGGCCAGAAGTACAACATCTCTATTAGGAATTTAGTATCTTGTTTGTTACATGTAGAACAAAATCTTTTATATGTAATATAATTCATTATGTATCAGTGAAGTCATTTTAGATGCAGGAGCTATTCAGTTTTCAGGCCTTGGGCCATGTTCAGTTGTTCACCAGAAGCTCTCAAAAGAAATTCACAATGCCTACTTTCACCCAAATGTGTATTAGATCACCCAAATGACTAACGAGATGTTATATTGCCACCAAGAAAAATAAGTAAAACCTGGCCCTGCACGGTGGCTCACACCTGTAATGCCAGCACTTTGGGAGGCCAAGGCAGGCAGATCACTTGAGGTCAGGAGTTCGAGACCAGCCTGGCCATCATGGTGAAACCCCATCTCTACTGAAAATACAAAAATTAGCCGGGCGTGATGATGCACGTCTGTAATCCCAGCTACTTGGGAGACCGAGGCAAGAGAATAACTTAACCCGGGAGGCAAAGTTTGCAATGAGCTGAGATTGTGTCACTGCACTCCAGTCTGAGCAACAGAGCAAGACTCCATTTCGAAAAAAAAAAAAAAAAGAAAAGTGAAACCTATTGTAAGAAAGAAGTAGGACTGCAACCTATTTCTTTGATAATGTTTTCCTGTTTTCGTTTTGTGCACTTTGACCCTAGATCTCCCTCCACCACTACCGATAATATATGAGGCAACTACAGGAAAACAAAAGCCCCTACAAAATAATATTGTTAAAGCACAACTAATAGAAATACTTTTCTGTTTGAATTAATAAATGGAATATTAAGGAAAATCCTCAATCTGTGCTATGGTTTTAATATGTGTCTCCTCCAAAATTCATGTAGAAATTTAACCCACATTAATACCTATGGTAGTATTATGAGATGTGGGCTTTTGGAGAAGTGATTAAGTCATGAGGACCCCACTTCTGTGAATAGATTAGTGCCTTATAAAAGGGCTAGAGATAACTAGCTTAGGACACCTTTTGCTGTTTCACTCTTCTACCTTGTGAGGACACAGTGTTTTTCCCTTTTTTGTCCTGGCCAATGCTTACTGACAAGAGATAGCATCCTTTATATTAAAATTGCATGTAGCTACTTCAACTTAGAATAAGAACAAACCCAAGTCTTTGCCCAGGTCTGAAAGGTTTTCTTCTTGGAGTACAATTTTTTATGGTCTTTTTACTATACATCATCTATTTCCAACATAGAGATAGGGCCTTTCCTGTGTCATATGTAGTAAAACCAGGGTTTCACAGATAAGGTGGCATTTAAACTGGGCCTTAATAAATGAGTAAAATTTGCTGGCAAGAAAGGTTGATAGTAAGAGAGAGTGTTCCCTAGAGAAGAAATAATACAAGCCAAGTAACAAGTTAAGGAAATGATGAATTTGAGTAATAAAAACTCATGAAACAATCTTTGAAGGCTCTTGCACTCGTCCAAATGAAAAATGTTCAGTAGATTAGTGACAGTTGGGTATATTTAAAAGATTTAAAAAAAAAAATCTCTGGTCAAAGCATCTACATGACTTAGGAATGAGCTAGATGTGAGTATTGAGAGAAAATGAAGAAGAATTAAACATGACAACAAGTTTATAGCACAAGAAGCTGAATGGCTAATGATGCCTTTAACTGAATTTTTTTTAAATACAAGAAAAGAAGCATTTGGACATATTTGGGCTATGGCTTTCTAAGATAACCCTCGATCTGCTATAACTCACATCCTAGTATAATACTTTCTCCTTGATGGTGAGCTAGAGCCAGCTATTTGCTGCCAACAAAAAATATATACCAAAGGTGATACAATGTCACTTACATGATTAAATGTTGCTATGGTTTGAATGTGTTCCCCCAAAGTTCTGTGTTGGAAATGTAATCCCAATACAACAGTGTTGAGGATGGGGCCTAATGGGAGGTGTACCCTCACGAATGGTGTTATTGTGGGAGGGGGTTTGTTATTGCAGGGGTAGATTCCTTATAAAAGGATGAGTTCAGCCCCCTATTGCTTTTTCCCTTGCTTTCTCTTTGCCCTTTTGGCATGTGATGACTTCCTCAATGACATGATGCAGAAAGAAGGCCCTTGACAGATGCCAGCCCCTCAGTCTTGGAATTCTCTGCCTCCAGAACCATGAGCCAGTAAATTTCTGTTCTTTATAAATTAACCGGTCTGTGGTATTTCCTAATAGCAGCACACAACAGACTAAGAAAGGTGTCTTTTTCTATTCAGGTTGCTAACACAAAATACCATAAACTGAGTAACTTCTAAACAACAAACATTTATTTCTCATAGATCTGAAGGATGGGAAGTCCAAGATCGAAATGCCGACAGATTTGGTGTTTAGTGAGGGCCCCCTTGTGCATAGATGGTGCTTTCTGTCTTTGTATGGTGGAAATGGTGAGGGATCTTTCTCAGGCCTCTTATTACAGGAATACTTGTCTCATTCATGAGGGCTCTGCCTCTATGACCTAATCACCTCCGAAAGATTTCATCTCCTGCTATCATCACATCATTGGGATGAGGATCTCAACGTATAAATTTTAGGGGGATGTAAAGGGTCATGCAATGACAGTAAGTTAGAAATATTGTGGCTTCCTTCTTGCTAGCTAATTTCCTCTCTTTCTGGCTCTGATAGAACAAACTGCTATGCTGGAAAACTCTACATAACACAAACTGAGGGTAGCCTCCAGCCGACACTTAGTGAAGAACAGAATCCTACCTGGAACCAAGTATGTGAGCTTCAAAGCAGATTATTCCCAGTTAAGTAAGACTTCAAGTAAAACCCTAACCCTGGCCAAAACCTAGATTATGAGAGACCACAGAACAGAGGACTCCGCAAAAGTCTACTCAGCTTCCTGACCCACAAAAACTGCAAGAAAATACATGCGTGCTATTTTAAGCCACTAAGTTCCGGGGTAATTTGTTTCACAACAATGCATAATTAATATAATAGTTAAAATCTTGGGCACAGATTAGATTAAAAAAAAAAAAAACTGTCCTGAGACAAAGCCTCTTAAGTCACTTCACCTAGGTGACTGCCTATTATTTCTAACTTTAAATATAAACTTTTATATTTTTATGATTTACATTGAATTACAATTTTTGTTTTGAGTCTAGATTTAATATTGTGGTTTAAGATTCCTAAGAATGAGCAAAGTTTAAATTCACATCAAAACAAGGCCTTGAGAAAAATACCTGCGTGACGTATTTTTTACTTTCCAGATTGATTTGGTGGCTTAATGTTGACATTGCCCAAATTATAGCAATGTCAGGAGGCTTCCGCATGCTATCCCAAGGCACAATGGCATAAATGAATCAGTAGAGCAAATGCTTTTCTTTCTGATAAATTTTATTTGGCTGCCTGAAGTGTTTAATTATGATTCTTTAGTTAATATACTATATAAACATATTTTCACATTATACATTTGGGGGAAGACTTTCCTGGAAATTTTTATTCCTTTGGAAGTAAATCAAAACATATTTCAATGTTATTACTTTAGTTAGGGAAAAGTAAGCCCCAGAAAAGGACTTGAATTGAAAATGTAAGTGAAACCATTGTTTCTCCACTAATGCTAGCAGCTTTAGCAATAACACACACCAAGAAATTATGAATGTGTGTGATACATATTTGATTATCTGCTAAATGACTCTGTAGCAAAAGGAAATTTAAAGGAAAATGCAAATCATCCAATGGCATAAACCTTCATGGATTAATAACTTCTCTGTGAAGATATTGTTAAAAATTTACCATATTTTTATAAATAAGAATACCACTTTAGAGTACAAACTGTTTAGAATAAACAGTTTATAAAAGTAGAATTTGTAATATTCATGCTATTTCCACCAAAAAAGGCCCAGACACCCATGAGTATCACGTCATTTATGATTCTGAAAAGCTTATCAATGAAGCAAAACCCTAACAGTCTTTCACATCTCTTAAGCTTTCAAAAATTTGGATTTCTAATCACTGGACTACAGAGATTGTGATTCATAGTCTGGGGAGGGGTCTAGGCATGGATGCTTTATGACACTTTTTGTGTGATTCTGTGCACATCCAGGGTTGAGGGTCACAGGTTGTCAGAATTTTTGGATGTAACTCTTTCTACTTCAGTAACTGAGGTGTCAGTACTGAAGAGGGCAAGCACCTCGGGATGTGTGAGAGAAATACACATATGCAGATATTTAAACAACTTCTCTATGAACCAACCTTATGACTTTTGAATCTTCTCAGCAAATCATGGACCACAGGTCAGAGTGTGGAAAAAGAGTAAAGATGTTATGATGAAAATACCTTTAGGGAAAGCTATTTGCACCCACTCTAATGTAAAGATGGCTGTTCCTTCACCTCAAACCTTTAAAAGAGGTGGCATGTTTCAACGGAACTACTCTGATAGCTTTGAAATGTGCTCTTTGAAGCTGAGTCAGATAGAGGACAGGTGCCAAATCATGCCTGACACAGGCTGATGGTGGACTGGGCTTAACTTCTAGACAACATAGGGATGGAGAGGGGGGTCTGATGACTATCTTCAAACAACAGCAGGAGACTGCTGCTATGGGGTCATTGGGCTGCCCTCTCAGAGGTGGTCAGAACAAAAGGGTCACCTTGTCTTGGGTCACCTTGTCTTGGGTCACCTTGAGTCCTATCTCATAGGACCCTTCCAGGGGCTAAGAAAAAAAAAGAAGCTGATGTGTCAAACTGAATGCCTAGGACCTGTGGAAAGAGACTTAGTCTTGGTCTTCATGACTCCACCAAAAGAGAGATTAGTAGTTTATCTGCTGGTGTCAAGGGAACCAAAGGAGGGCATGAGGACTTCCAAGAGCCCATGAAAGGGCACTATGAAAGAAAGATTCAGCTGGGTGCGATGGCTCATGCCTGTAATCCCAGCACTTTGGGAGGCTGAGGCGGGCGGATTATGAGGTCAGGAGATCGAGACCATCCTAGTGAACACGGTGAAACCCCGTCTCTACTAAAATTACACAAAATTAGCCAAGCATAGCCCAGCTACTCAGGAGGCTGATGCAGGAGAATCTCTTGAACCCAGGAAGCGGAGGTTGCAGGGAGCTGAGATCACGTCATGGCACTCCAGCATGGCTACAGAGCAAGACTCTATCTCAAAAAAAAAAAAAAAAAAAAAGAAGGAAGGAAGGAAGGAAGAAAGGAAGGAAGGAAGGAAGAAAAAATCACCCGTTAGGCCCAGAGAGCACAGACCCAGCTAATGATGGTACAATTTGAAATCAAAACTCTCCAAGTCTGTCAACTTCCTTTGTTTTTCCTCCTCCTTCAACCCTTCAGGATAAGAAACAGCATCTAGTAAATGGAGGAAGCTAACAAGTTGTGGGACCAAAGGGATGGGGTATGATGGTGAACAAAGAAGAAGAAACTGGGTACAGCTTCTTCCTTGCTGCAGGCATCCATATTTGGGCCTGGCTCAAGCTGGGAATGGAGAAAAAATATTGACAGTAAATCACGTTTATAATCTTCATTAATATAGGACCAGACACCCTATTTACCATATTGAGACTGTGTTTGAGACATCAAGTTAATGGAAGATGTAGTATATATGAATAACAGAAATATAGAGGATTTCTACCTGATAAAAAAGGAAAGCACGTATCTATGGAACCCTGCATCTATTTTTATCCATGAAAAAATATCCTCACTGAATACAGTTTGAATACAATAGGAGACAAAAATAAAGTTGAATTTTAACTATGCCATCGGCTGTAATTGTTTGGTAAGTTATATGTATCAAGTTAATAAGGTGATTTGATTGCCAAGGAATAGGAAGATCACAAAATTTAATTTGTGACGTAGATAAATACTCTGGATGGTTTGTAAAAGAATTTGATGTTTAGGCTGAAGGCTATTTAAATAGCTTTTTATTTTCTAACCACTGAGACAAAACACATTTAAACTTGAACCTATAATGTATACCTACAGCCATCTCAATATGTGTTGTTAACGAATCTCTACTTGTTGGATAGAATTTATACAGCAGTACTTACCTTACTTAATGTGTATTTGCTTCCTTGTTCTGGAAAGAGTTTTAAGATAACTTTCACAAGAGACTTTGACTTTGAAATAGAAATATGAATTTGAGCCAAGGAAATATAGAAGATTTCTACCTAATAGAAAAAGGAAAGCACCTATCTAAGGAGCCCAGATTATAACGAGGTAAACTTAACATTTCACGTTCAGCTTCCTGGAGGGACAAAGCACTGAAGAAAAATTCAGTTATATAATCTCCATTTATCAAAAGTAAGAGTCACACCATACCCTCATGTACATAAAATTTTCCTAGGATGACACTCTAAAAACAGTTCTCATTAACTGTAGGATCTACAGAAAGAAATGTCAAATGGAAGCAAATTAGAAGCAAAGGCGACTATAGCCCAGCTATTTAGCAAGTCTCTGGCATCAAGACTTGCATTGTCCATGCTCTTTGATAGTGAGAATATGTATTCGTTTCCTGTAGCTGCTGTAACAAATTATTGCTATCTTGGTGGCTTAAAGCAATAAAAATGCATTCCCTCACAGTTCTGGAGTCCAGAAGACCAAAATCAGTCTCAATGAGCTGAAATCAGGTGTCAAGTTTGCACTCACTCCCTCTAGAGGCTCTAGGAAAGAATCCATTCCTTGCCTTTCCTGGCTTCTGGTTGCTGCCCCCAGTCCTTGGATTGTGGCCACATCACTCCCATCTCTGCCTCTGTAATTATATTGCTTTATTCTCTTCTCTCTGTTTAAAATTTCCCTCTGCCTCCCTCTTATAAAGATACATTTAGGGCCCACCTTAGTAACCTGGGATGATCTCCACATCTCAAAATCTTTAATTTAATTTCATCTGCAAAGACCCTTTTTTCATATTTTAACATTTACAGGTTCCAGTGGCTATCTTTTGAGAGGTCATTTTTCAGCCAACCACAGCATATGAACAGCAATTGATATATTACATAACATGTGGAATAATACTTTTCATACATGCATATATGTTAAGCAACATACTGGCATTCTAAATTTGGAAATCATGGTGAATATCAATAGCATCTTCATCAGTGTAATGGATTCTCACATTGCAGTTACAAGTAGGGTTTTTAGTTCTCAGTGGTAAAAATAGATTTCTGAAAGCCCACAAGTGTTGATGAAGTCATCTGTGAAAAGGTGGGAGCAGATTATCGTAAAGTTCCGTTACTCACAAATGCCTCTAGTAAGAGCATTACATAAGGAAAGTAAATTTATTGTTCTTCCTTTATAATAGTAAAATCTAAAATAGCTCAGTGTGGACCCTTAGCTTATCACAGAATTTTAATATCTCAGCCCATGTTTCTTACTTTCCAGAAAAGAAAATTGAGGCTCAATCAAATGACTGTTCTTAGATCCCACCGCCAACATGTGGCACAAGAAACCAGGACTAATACTTCCTCACTCCTGGCCCATACACTTTCTTTTGGGCTATGCCCACTTTTGTTCAGTCATTTACTGAAATAAAAGCTAGTTTTAATCACTCTCCAGTTCAGATATCTTTCAACCTTAGAATTAAAGTATATTCATTAGAATTTAAATCTTCATTTCTATATTTAATACATAAATATTCTTAATAAACCCTGACATGCAAAAGTCTGATCTGTAGATGAAGAAACTCAAGGGAGACAGCACCCAATATTCAACTGCAATTACGTTAATTCAGAGGAGTTGGTTCATTTGAGATTTAATTTGAACAAAAGGAAACAAAGCCTGCAAATGTACTCAGTTCAGAGATATATCTACCAGAAGCAGTGAGCAGGGTTTAATTGGTAGCAGCTGGGGAAGTTTCTGTCTACCAATTAAAGATGCAGAAATGTTCCCTCTCACACCAAATAAGTTGGTCTATGGTTTTCTAAAAACTCACTGACTATTTATCTATTATTTTCTCATGAAGAGAAACTTGATAAAAGGACACAACATCATTCTGATATCCTTTGTAAGTCATTCATTTTCAAGTTTTCAGGCAAGCTTAGAGAGTAGACAGTTAATTACAACACAAGCTGCCCCTGTATCTCAAACTGATGCCAGGATGCTGTTTGACAAATGCAGCTTTAAAAACCTCAGTACATAGGTGATTTTGAAATGATTTAGTTCTTACCGTTTCTCATAATGTGAAATACAGGACATTACAACATGGTCCACATTTTTTTCTCAGGGTATTATATATCGTGTTTGGACAGTTAGAACTCCCTGCTATTATTTATTCATGCCAATATAAATTATTCTCTTCAAATGAACTCAAGTCACGTAAACTCTTGCTTCCCGGAACCAAAGCATGCTTTCTTCTGGAGAGACGTGAATTTCACCTCACTCCTTGGAAATTGAAAAATCAAATAACAAACAGCCCCCGAGTTTGCAATCAATACCTAGTTCAGTAACTTCTTGAGATTGTTTGACTCCAGTGTGGTTCTCAGTCTTGGGAGTATTAAGGACTTGAAATCGTTTTTTTTTTTTTTTTTCTGCTATCAACTCCCAAATCAAGAAGAGCTACATTAGGGAGTTGCCTTTCTTTATTATGGGGCTCTGAAGAGGATCTCTGGTTTGTTTTATTTATTTTAAAGCCAAGAGCCAATTCAAGGATGATGAATGGTGTCAGTTTGACAGCACCAAAGACTGAAATTCTTCATTTCTTCCAAGGTTTAACAAGGCAACGACTGCAATTTGTTTTTCAGTTTGCCCTGCAAAATGCCTTACCTTTTACCTGAATAAGCTGATTCTAAAAATGTGGTATCAGGATCACGATCTATTCTAACAATTCCTTTTCTCCTGATATCCCTGATAAGTGTCAGGGTAGATGTATTAAAAGAGATTCTTTTTACTTTTTAAGAGATTTTCTTTTTCACCTGGGACTGAATAAAGCCTTCTGATTGAATTTATTCAGGTCAGCACACTTATAGAAGGATAAAGCTGGTTTGGACCTGGCCTCAGCAATGGCTGTTCTATGGGCCCAATCTCAGAGGTGGTTCAGATTTATTGACCTGAATTTTGCCAGATTGGCAGAAAGTCTCAGGGAAAGCTTTTACTTACACAGTCTACCTTTCCATTTTAACAGAAACTTTACCCTTGCTCTTTGGTTGGTACCAAAAGGAGTGGTGATACAGGTGAATTTCCACAGTGGGACAACTGTGGAACAATAAGAGAAAAAAATTATATTAAGCTAGTCATACCCATCCAGGTAATCATGACTTCTGGTTACTAGTATACACTCTGGTTTTAAGGGAGAATCATTTTCCCTGAAGTAATTTGTTTTTCACTTATTCCTTCTCATAAATAACTAATTTACAGCATTTAAATATTTTCATTGAAATGATTATAGACTCAATTAAAAAAATGGAAAACTTTATTTCATTATTTCCATACATCCCTTTCTTCAACCTATTAAATATTATGTGCAGATTTTAAAATAAGGTTATTAATAGAGATTGAAGCTGAGTCTATATCAATATAGTGGTGAATTTAAAGAACCATTATAATAAAATCTTGCTGAATTAATGATGCTAATTGAATTGCCTAAGCAACTGCAATACGACAATTGTTGCTAAAAGCTTTTGAGATAATAATGAAAATCTGGCTTATTTCAAGGCATTTAAATCTAATTGGAAAAGCAATAATAATACTCTTAAAAATACCAGGTAACAGTATGAAACAACACTTAAGTGTTACCATCAAATATTGAGTGTTCTTATGATTAGCGATCTTTACCCTAGAGGAAATACACACACACACACGCACACACACACACACACACACACACACACACACGATTATTTATTTGCCATGAACTCTAAATACTGATGGAATTCAGATAAAGGAGAAATTAAATGAAGTATTGAGTATAGGAATTTTGAATTCAGTTGCAGAAAAAAAGTACATTTTACTAAATGGAATTGGAGGAACAAATTACTTTTGGGGAAAAAAGAGTAGTTTCAAACACATAATGTGACCATGGTTATATTGGAAGAATGAGGCTTTCTCATTTCTCAAGGGAATGAAACACACTTTGAAGTTATCTTAACGAATATTGTTTTTTCCTTTAACACGAAACATTCAATAAGTGAAAATCTGAGTGATTGTTGAGATAATTCAACCCATATCAAAAAATAAAACGAATCATAGGAAACTAAGTTGGAGGTGCAAAGGAAGAACGAGTTCCTCCTCTTAGAGGATTAATTTTTGTGTTAAGATTTGCTGCCCACAAGCTTGATGGGATATTTTTAAAAATATCTTTCTTGTTTTAAAATGATGAAAGCTGAAAGAGAAATTATCTTGAATTAATATGTTTATATAACCACTTCATAGATTACAAGTATAATCACATACATTATTTTATCCTAGATTGGAGAGGAAATGGCTGGTTCAAGTCTTGATTATCACTTAGCTTTGTGACTTTGATCTTTCCTTTTTCTATTCCTTTTGAAGTTTAGTTTTCTTTTCTGTTACATGAAGATAATGATACATATCCCATGAAGATGTTATAAATATTTATTAAAATATAGTGCCTGGTACAGAATTGGAACTGAAGCATTAGTTCCTTACACAGACTGAGCATTACCACCATTTGAAAGATGACAAAATGCCGAAAAAGTCAGGTTAACTTGCCAAAGACTTCACAGATTGAAAGGCTAGACATAATAGCAGTCTTTAGATCTACGATCTTGCAATTTTTCTGCTCTATTGTGTAGCTTCAATACAAATAATTTCAAATACGATTATATTGATAGATATGAGAGTCTCTATGATTCTACAGATTTTTTTATTTATGTAGTCATACACTATATAACAGCATTTCAGTCAATGACAGACCACATATATAACAGAGGTCTCATAAGATGATAATGAGCTGAAAAATTTATATTGCCTAGTGACACTGTAGCTGCCTTCATGTCTTAGCAAAACTTGTTACATACATGTTTGCGGTGCTGCTGGTGTAAATAAACCTATTGTGTTGCCAGTCCTATAAAAGTGTAACATGTACTGTTATGTATAGTAACTAATAGTTGATAATAAATGACTATGTTACTGGCTTATGTATTTGCTATACTATAGTTTTGTTATTATTTTAGAATGTACTCCTTTCATAATAGGGAAAAAAATAAACAGTAAAACAGCCTCAGGCAGGTCCTTCAGAACGTATTTCAAAAAAATGACATTATTATCATAAAACATGATATCTTCATGCATGTTATTGTCCCTAAAGAACTTCCAATGGCACAATATATAAAAGTGGAAGACAGTGATATTGATGATTCTGACCCTGTGTAGGCCTAAGCTAATGCGTGTCTTTTTTAACAAAAACATTTAAAAAGTAGAAAATAAATAATTTTTAAAGTAGAAAAAAAATATAGAACAAGGTTATTAAGAAAGAATATTTTTGGGTCAAATGATATTTCTAGTTCTAGATCCCTAAGGAATCACCACACTGACTTCCACAATGGTCGAACTAGTTTACAGTCCCATCAACAGTATAAAAGTGTTCCTATTTCTCCACATCCTCTCCAGCACCTGTTTACCAAAGGATTTTAAATCACGCTGCTGTAAAGACACATGAACACGTATGTTTATTGCCACACTATTCACAATAGCAAAGACTTAGAACCAACCCAAATGTCCAACAATGATAGACTGGATTAAGAAAATGTGGCACATATACACCATGGAATACTATGCAGCCATAAAAAATGATGACTTCATGTCCTTTGTAGGGACATGGATGAAGCTGGAAACCATCATTCTCAGCAAACTATCACAAGGACAAAAAACCAAATACCGTATGTTCTCACTCATAGGTGGGAATTGAACAATGAGAACACATGGACAAAGGAAGGGGAACATCACACACCAGATCCTGTTATGGGGTGGGGGGGAGGGGGGAGGGATAGCATTAGGAGATATACCTAATGTTAAATGACGAGTTAATGGGTGCAGCACACCAATATGGCACATGTATACATATGTAACTAATCTGCATGTTGTGCACATGTACCCTAAAACTTAAAAGTATAATAAAAAAAAAAGATCCAAGTAAATGGAGGTATATATGTTCATACAGTCTGATGACTCAGTATTGCTAAGATACCAAATCTTCCCTAAATTGATCTAAATGTTAAACACATTCCCAATAAAAATCCCAGCGGAATTCTTTGTAGAAATTGAAAAGTTGATTCTAAAATTTATATGAAACGTTAAATGACCTATAATAGCCAGAACAATGTTTACAAGTAGAACAAGATTGGAGGATTTCACAGCTGATTTTCAAACTTATAAAGCTACAATATCAAGACAATCTACTTTTAGTGAAAAGATAAACATATAGATCAAAGGAATGAAATAGAGTCCAGAATTAAGCCCACACATTTATGGTCAACTGAGTTTTTACAAAGATGTCAAGATAATACAATAAAAAGAACAAGTCTTTTCAACAAATGGTACATTGGATTATCTTATTTGTTTTTCCTGTCATAAATGACAGGATTTTCCTTTTTTAAGGCTGTATAGTATACCATGAATATATACCACATTTTCTACCCCCTGGAAGTAACTATACATTTTATTATTTTTATTAGTTTAATTGACACATACCTATTTATGGGCTACAGTCTGATGTTTCAATACATATATACACTGAGTAATGATCAAATCATGGTAATTAGCATATCCATTACCTCAAACATTTATCATTTCTTTGAAGTTAGAACACTCAAAATCCTCTATTCTATAATAGTTATTTTGAAATATACGTTATTCTTAACTACACTCTACTGTTCAATAAAACACCAGAACTTATTCTTCCTATCTAATTGTAACTTTGTACCCATTGACCAACCTCTCCTCAACTTCTCCTCCTTACTACTGCCCTAACCATCTCTGGTAATCACTGTTATACTCTCTGCTTCTATGAGATCAGCTTTTTTACATTCCACGTGAATGAGATAATGCAGTATTTGTCTTTCTGTGCCTGGCTTATTTCACTAAACATAATGCCCTCCAGATTTATCCATATTGTCACAAATGACAGGATTTTATTCTTTCTAATGGCTGACAAGTATTCCACTGTATATATATATTTCACATTTTCTTTATCTATTCATCCACTATGGACATTTAAGTTGATTCATGGGAGTGCAGATAGGTCTTTGACATACTGATTTCATTTCCTTTGGATATATACCCAGTAGTAGGATTGCTGGATAGTTGTTTTAGTCTCAATTTTTTGAGTAACCTCCATATTGTTTACTATGATTGTACTAATTTAAATTCCTACCAACCGTGTGCAAGATTCCCTTTTCTCCACATCCTCTCCATCACTTGTTATCTCTCCTCTTTCAATAATAGCCATTCTTCCAGGTGTGAGGTGATATCTCATTGGGGTTTTAATTTGCATTTTTCTGATGATTCATGATGTTGAGCATTTTTTAGTATACCTGTTGGTCACTTGTGTGTCTTCTTTTGAGAAATGTCTATTCACATCCTTTGCCCATCCTTTAAATCTTGTTATTTGTTTTCTTACTATTGAGTTGTTTGAGCTCCTTATATATTAGGTATGTTAACTCCTTATCTGATGTATGGTTTGCAAATATTTTCTCCCATTTTGTGGATTGTCCCTTCAATCTTGTTTTCTTTGCTGTGCAGGAGCTTTTTAGTTTGATGCTATAGTTTGATCCATTAGCCTATTTTTGCTTTTATTGCCTGTGCTTTCAAGGTCATATAAAAAACATCATTACTCAAATCAGTGCTATTGATCTTTCCCACTGTATTTTCTTTTGTTAGTTTTACAATTTCAGTTCTATGTTTAAGTCTTTAATCCATTTTGAGGTGACTTTTGTATACAGTGTGAGATAAGGCTCTAATTTCATTTTTCTGCATCTGGATATCAGATTGTCCCAACACCATTTGTTGAAGAGACTGTCCTTTTTCCATTGTATATTCTTGATACTTTTGTTGCAAATCAGTGGACGGTAACTGTGTGGATTTATTTCTGGGCACTCTATTCTACTCCATTGGTCTACATGTATTTTATGCCAGTACCATGCTGTTTTGATTATTATAGCTTTGAAGTATATTTTGAAGCCAGGTAGTATGATGTCTTCAGCTTTATTTTTTTGTTTGTATGTTTTGTTGTATTTATTTACTTTGCTCAATATTGCTTTGGGTATTTGGGGTGTTTTGTGGTTCCATGCAAATTTTAGGAAAATTTTTTATATTTCTGTAAAAAATTCATGAAATTTTGATAGGAATTGTATTGAATTTGTATATTGCTTTGGGTAATATGGACATTTTAAACAGTATTAATTTTTCCAAGCTATGAACATAAAACATATTTGTTTAAAAAAAGAATATTTTTGTTGTACAACTGTATAATGTGTTTTGTTTTAAGGTAAACATTATTTAAAAAGAGCTAAAACATTAAAAAAAGAAGTTTAAAAATGTTACACTAAGCTAAAACTAATTTATCATTAAAGAAACTTTTTAAAAATTAATTTAGTATATCCTAAGTCTACAGTGTTTATAAAGTCTACAGTAGTATAGAGTAATGCCTAAACCTTCACATTCTTTCACTGACTCACCCAGAATAACTTCCAGTCCTGCAAGCTCCATTCATAGAAAGTGCCCTATACAGGTGTATCATTTTTGTCTTTTTGTCTTTTATACTGTATTTTTCCTGTACTTTTTATGTTTGGTTACAAAAATTCTCACCATTGCATTATAATTACCTAGAGTATTCAGTATAGTAACATGCTATATAGGTTTGTAGCCTGGGAGCAGTGGGCTATACCACGTAGTTTATATGTGTAGTAGGCTATGTCAAGTAGGTTTGTGTAAGTACATTCTATAATGTTTACACAACAACAAAATTACCTGACAACACATTTTGAGAACACATCCCATTTTTATTGTTGTTAAGCAATTCATGACTATATTAACAAAGCCAACATCATTTATACATTTAAGTGACACATGTATAAATGATTTGCTGTCATGTTTCTTAAACTATGTATCTGTGGGTTGGGTGACTGTGTGCTGTTGTTAATCAAGTCACACATTAAACATGCAACACCTTATAGATGGAGGGGACTAATTTTTTTATTAAAATAAGAAACCCAATATAATTCTATTTTTAGCATAAAATAAGAAATGTGGCCAGGCACAGTGACTCATGCCTGTAATCCCAGTACTTTGAGAGGCTGAGGCGGGTGGATTGCTTCAGCCCAGGAATTCAAGACCAGCCTGGGCAACATGGAAAACCCCCATCTCAACCAAAAAAATTACAAAAACTAGCCAGAAATGGTGACACGCACCTGTAGTCCCAGCTAGTTGTGGGGCTGAGGTGGGGGGGTCACTTGGGCCTAGATAGGTTGACCCTGCAGTGAGCCATGACTATGCCACTGCACTCCAGCCTGGGTGACAGAGTGAGACCCTGCCTCAAAAAAACAAAAAAGAAAAAAAGAAATGCTCTTGCAGAAGTTTTAGATCATACTCTAATCCCTAGTTTATATAATCATATTTTCAGCTGGGCTTGATACTTTGGAAGGAAGGTTTAATAAGCAATAAAATACTGTGTTAAAGATCACAAAGGCATTTGTGTTCACCAGACATCTACATTTCCCAGAATATAAGATAGTGTCTGGCTTGGTCTCTAATCTTCTCTTCAAACTGTAATTTCTATATATTATCATATCTATTCTTTTCCATTTCTTCTCTCCTCCACTTTGAGGGAAGGGGTAATGAGAATAAAGTGGCCAAAGGTAACCTAAGGAGAAAAAGTAGAGGCAATCATGGCCAAAGCTTTATGATATATATAGTGTTTGTATAAGACATGATTTTACTTGAGATAAAAATTCTTAATTATATTCAGTGATCTGTTATCAGTAGCATGTGTGCTGCATAGTAAGCTTCAAGCGCAACCTTCAATACTGCTTTGTGTGATGCTGGGGCTGGACATCTATAAACCATATTTCTGCTTTACCCAGCTGTCTCCCTGTTGTACATTGAGAATAGGTGCTGCTAGAGGGAGTTTGGAGGACTGGGGGAGGACAAAAGCTACTCTGTTCCCTGTCTGCTTCCTATTCTTGTCCCAGCGGCCATTGCAAGAAACTTTTTTCCCACCAGTGACACTTCTCCTGTGAGCACAGTTAACTCTAATTCATAGTTTTCCAGCATTCATATTGTTTTGATTTAAATCATTGAATCAGGCATTATTTTTTTAAATTATTTACTAAGTGCCTTGGTTGTTATCACAAACAATACCAGCATATTTTTACTTGTTTTTTCTCTCTCTAATTTGAGCTCTGTCAGAAATCTCGAGTGCAATCATACCATCTCTCAGCTATTCCCCAAGTATTCTAAATGGGTTGAGTACTCTTTTGTCTTTACTAAAGAGTATCCAATGATTAAAATAAAATTTGTCTCAACACCACAAGCCATGAGACCAGGAGATATGTCAAATCCTGTTTAAACATGTCCATATAGATATCATTGGATGACGTAATTGATTTGGACTTGCAATTTAAAAAAAAATCCTTTGAAAGCTTCTATGGGATTAGAATAATTTTTTTCATTTTTCTCCACAGATGCAGCATAAAATATACCAGAAACCTAAACCACCGAATCTTTCACATCTGTTTTTCCTACTTTAAACATCAAAGACTTCAATTTTTTTTTTCTTTTTCGTTTCTGTTCTCTGTATAATACTGTAAAGAGCAGTGTGTAAATGTCATTGACTAAGGTTGATAAAGTAAGCACTGATAATAAACTTTTCTGTATTCTCAGAATTCATATTTTAATTTTTCATACAACTAATGAAACAACAACTAATGGAACAACATTTTATAAGAAATAAATATCTACAAGATAAATTTTTAAATATTTTAAAAAATATTAATTTCGAAGATTTTAAATCTAGCAGAAAGGTAGAAAAATAATAAGTTTCATATACCCATTGTGATGGTTAATTTTATGTGTGAACTTGGCTGGGCCACAGTGTCTAGATATGTGGTCAAACATTATTCTGGATGTTTCTGTAAGCAAGTTTTTGGATGAGATTAATGCTTAAATCCATGAACTTTGAGTAAAGCAGATTGTCCTCCATGATGTGGGTGGGCCTCATACAATCATTTGAAAACTTGAAATGAACAAAAGACTGAGCTTTCCCCAGCAAATGGCCTTCAGACTTCACCTGAACACTGGCCCTTCTCTGGTCCACCCCGCGTATTTTGGACTGGCTGGTAAAGTCTCCATAATCATTTTAGGCAATTCTTTAAAACAAAATTATCTTAATATAAATCTCTCTCTCTCTCAGTCTATATATATATATACACACACACACACATAAATATGTGTATATATATGTACATATATATACACACACATAGATATGTGTATATATACACACACGTATGTGTGCATATGTGTATATATGTATATATAGGTGTATATATACGTATATATGTATATATAGGTGTATATATACGTATATATGTATATATACACACATACATTCGTTTGGTTCTGTTTCTCTGGAGAACCCTGAGTAATACATTCATCATCACAATTAACAACTGGCAATTACTATATTATTTAATCTATTTTTGTGTTATAATTTGGAGTAAATATAGACATCATGATATTTAAGCCCTAAATACAACACCACATCACTATTTGTAATCCTTAAAGATAATGTTTTCCTGTATAAGAAAACACCATTATTGCACTTAACAAACTTAATTTTTTGTACCATTTAATACTCATTTCATCTTGAAATTCTCTCAAAATTCAAAAGAAGTCTTGAAGCCAATTAGAACAAACATTGTGCTGGAGTGTGATGCAACATAATACTTTATAGGTGATGCTATGTACCTCATACTGCATCACAATAAGACATACATCACATCTGCAATATTAGTGATGCTAACATTGGATTCTCAGTTGATGGGGTGACAGCTTTATCCCTTCTCTATAAAAGTATATCTTTTTCCCTTGGTGACCAACAAGTAATATTTGTGATGATATTTTTACATCTCATGAATATCTGTAGCAATCTTTCACCTAATAGTATTTATCACTTGTTAATGATTATTGCCACAATCAAATATTTTATTAGAAGTTGCAAACAAAGTTAGCAAAATATATAATAATAATTTATTATAGAATTACAAAAGGGCCAGTTTTACTCCCCATATCTTCCTAATTTGTTCAACTCTAAACACACTGGCATGAAATTTTAAGATGTCATAGCTAGGGAATTACTCTAGGATAAAACAGAACCTCCTTTAAGATTTAGTTTGTGTAGTATGAAGAAAGTCTAGTAATAAGAATATTGATGTTCAGAATTCCCAACCCCCATATCACATTTTTTTAAATTACTAAGATACATTATATGAAATTTTCTGATTTAACGAGGAACGGATAATGGATAAATTATGCTTGGCAGTGCAAACCAAAGATCTAATAGCTTGAATTATTTTTACAAAGACCTCATCAAATGACATTTAATGTATGTAACCAGCTAACTTAACACTGTTTTTACTTATTGTCATGCATTTTTGCAGAATTTTGTAAAGTTTTAACCTTTTCTTTTCCCATGTGTTTCTCATATTCACTTATAATCAGAGGCTCTAAAACTCTGAGTTTTACTTCTTTGGTGTTAGATTTTCTTCACCTTTTTCCTACCACTGCATATCTTCTGCATATGTAAATTTACTTTCAACGTTACTATGTCTGTGAAGAAGGAACACCCATTGAGCAAGAATGGAAAATATATTAAACATAAGGGATATAGGGAATTTAGAAATTAACATTCTGATAGAGACAGAAGATGCTGGAGCAATACTGGAAAAAAGCCAGTTCTGTCAAAGTTTTTGGTCTGCACTAGTAGATGGTAGAGGTTTAACTAAGATCCCAATAGACGTTTGAACTCAGGATACTTATTCAAACTCAATGTGAACCCTTTGAGGCTGACTCATTGCTAATATTTTTCCATTTCAGGGTAAGATTTCCCACTGACACTAACCAACACAACCTCAATGTGGGTAAGTGGAATAGGAAGTTCCAGATCACTGAACTCTTGTAAAATGACTTATTTATTGTTTTTACTTAATTCCTCAGACATGCTTTGTGGGTTTTTTATTATTATTATTAGATTTTTTAAGTTCTATTTTCCATCCAGTGGCCCTGATCTTCTTAGAAAAATCCTGAACAACAGGGACAGCTGTTAAAAGAATGAGCTCACTAATTATTCTCATATTGGAAAAATAAATAGTGTAAAAAAAGTAAAAAGTAACTTACCTTATTGTTTATTTCTTAAGGGATAGTGTAGAAAATGTCCACTCTTGACTTAATTACAATAAAATAAACAGGATTCAATTTGTGTGCTTTTGTTGACAAATTTTCTAAGAGTAGAACTGTTCCAAATTAAAATAAGAACCTGTCTTTATAAGCTTGGTTGTTACGTCTTTATGTATGTATTTATTTATCTTTTTAGTCTGAGAAAAACTTCAGTGATGAATAAGTTTTTCTCTTAAATCCAGGTGACATGTAACAGTCTGCTCCTTAAAATACTCCAGCATTTTAGTCTGCATGATATTTTATCAAGGGAAGCAATATACAAAACAGCATCTACTGAGTAATAATAGGTTTTAGTAGATTCTAAATAAGTATCTCACACACTAACATTATCATATTGTTCTATTTTAATAATGGAGTTTATTCATTTCACCTGTTCTAAAACTGCCTGCTGTGTTGCTTTTTTAAAATGCTGTCATTTTATTTTTCTTTCAATTTTTCCTTCTCCCTTCTTCACCAAGAACTTACCTGTCTAAACTAAATAATTGCATGTCACATACAAAAATAAGAATATCTGAAAAATAATGCTGACCAAACTTCAACATTGCATATAAATCTATATTGCATCTCATTTTATGTTTCCTCTTCTTTTTCAAAGGATTTACTATTCTGTAATTCATAAATTCATCCTCTTTCTGAACAAACTTAAAATTTAATGCCCATCAGAATTATTATGTGGTTCAACACAACTTTGCATCTCATATTTGCCTGGCGCCAGTCAAAGTGAAGACAAACCCACAGTCAGTTCCTGTAGGGGCACAAAATAACAATTTGTATTTTCCTATAATGACCACAGGCTAACCAGCATCTAACCTGGGAAGGCCTCAAATATAGGCAGCCATTTAGAAATGTTTTCTTATGTTATGTCACCTCTATCAGAGAAAAGTGAGGAAGAAAGTGAGATTCAGAGAAACAGTAAGGTTGTGTGTTGGTTAGTGTCACTGGGAAATCTTACCCTAAAATGGAAAGAGGCTAGGAAAGAAGGAAAAAAAAAAAAAAGACAATAGATGATAGGAAGATTGAACAATGGGTTTTTTCGTTTTCTTTGTAAAGACCTGTAACAAAGTTTTGAAATAAAGTACCATTGTAACATGATGTGCAACTACTAAGCTATAAAAAATGAGGAATTTTACAGAGACCAGTAATTAAAATAATGAATGTTCAAAAATAAATAAAAATGAAATATTACTTTATTAAATTTATTGTTTTATTATACATATTATTAATTTTATTCTTAAATACTTGACATATTAATTTCAAGCACTTATTTTTAACACATTGACTTGAGAAAATGAGCCACAACCTATATAATGCTTAGCTAAAGAATAATTTAGGGAATTTAATTTGCTTTCAAAATATTTTCCAAAGCAGTTTACTATACTTGTCTGTTTTCCTCCAGTTTTTTACATCCAGCCACCTTCCAGGCTAAAAATAAGTCATTTGTTATCTTGTGCAAAAACTCTTGCCCTTTATAAGTAGGTATATTTGATTAAATATAAATAGTATCTAATAAATCTGCAAATTGCTGAGCCATGCATAAAGTCCTGTTGGCTTCTGCCCTTGTGTTTTGATGATTCTAAGGTAAAATAAAAATATTTATGATTGATTACTTGCTATGGCACAAAACTGCAAGAGGAGATGTGATTAGTGGTAAACCAAAGAGAAGATACCAATTTATAATTCTCAAAGCATGGTAACCATATATAATGTGGTCAATTGTATTTTCAAAAAATGGCCACAGTAATATTTCTCCTTCTACAGCAATATTTTTAGATCCTTGCTATTCTCTCATCAAGAGCAAAAGTCTATTTTTCTTCCACTTGAAGCTGGGTAGAACTTTATAAATAAAACGTAAAATAGGTGATATTATGTGACTCTAGAAGCTAGGTCATAGGTGGAATATGGCTTCTGCTTGGCTCTTTCTCTACCTCTCAAAACTCTCACCTTTGAAACCTAGCCGCCTCATGGAACTTGTAGACGTTCAGCTGATATCCTCCACTAACATTATAGATGACTGTCAGCATCAGCTGCTAGACCTATGAGTAAATGACACCCTTCCAGCTGCCCCTGTTGACACTGAGTGGAGCAGGGACAAGCTGAACTGAGTCCTACCCAAATTGAAAATTTATGAGCTAAATCAAAGCTGTTATTGTTTTTAAGCCACTAAGCATTGGTAGTTTGTTGTTGTTTGGACAAAATTTTGTTCCCTCACACTCACATGTTGCACCCCTAAGCCCCAGTGTGACTGTATTTGTATACAGGCCCTTTAAAGAGGTAACTAAGATAAAACAAGGTCATCAGAGTGATGACCTAATCCAATAGTACTGGTGTTCTTACAAGAAGAGAAAAAGTTAGCAGAGCATGTTCTCTCTCTCTCTCTCTCTCTCTCTCACACACACACACACACACACACACACACACAGGGAGAGAGAGAGAGAGAAACAGAGAGACAGAGAAAGAGAGAATAAAGGCCAGATAAGGACACAGTGAGAAGGCAGCCCTTTACAACCTTCTATTGTCTTACAGAATACATATATCATCACGAACAGAATGTTTTTAGAAAAGTGAACATTAAAAATGCTTCAGGATAGACCTCAGATGAAAATGAGGAACATGTTATTAGAAGCTTAAGAAAATGCAATCATTAGTATCAACCTGAAAAAACAAATAAAGAAAATTATTGCCAAATATGTTAAGTTTATTCAGGAATGAGAATAAGGATTAGATTTCAGAATGCATAGAATGTCAAGCCAGCAGATAAACCTTGTCAAAGCAGAAGAGGTGTGAAGGATGTAAAAGGGCTTCCTGTGGGATTTTTAGAAAGTCTTTGGTAAAAATTCTTATTTCAGACAAGTAAGCATGAGCCTCCTCTCCTTTGTGCCTTCCCAGCCCTACTTTGTCTGGGCCTGACAAAAGTCAGGCCAGAAATCATTCTGCTATCGGCAACTTTCACATTATAAAGTGGCAAGGAACTTGGCAAAATTGTTTTCTCATATTTTCTCGAAGATAGAACCATGAGTGATAACCTTGGATACTTTGTGGAGGACATTTCTAAGTGAAGTATTAAAGGTGCAGCCTGGCATATCTTCACTGTTTATAGTAAAATGAGAGAGGAAAAAGATAAATGAGAGGAATTGTTAAAAAGAACCAGAACTTGAAGATTTGAAAATTTCTCAACCTATCCATATTGCAAAAAAATTAGAAAGCATGCTCTGGAGGGAACACCAGGGGTTTAACTGTCAATTGCTTCATAAAAAGATATGTGCATATCTTTATTTCTGGCTTCAACTGAGTGGGCTGATTAAATCCATAGGTAATCTATCAGTTGAGACTAAAGGGGACAGAGAAAATGGGAAAGAATAAAAGAAGGCTGTCAGACTTCTGAAATGCTACGGGATGTGACAATAAAGCTATCCAGCTTCAAATACACTTGAAATAAAAGGAAGAATGACCCTGAAAGTGATTCAAAAATCAGGGCTGCACCTCCCACCACAGGGTAGGCTGTCTCCTCCTGAGTTTCAGAGATTAGGGCGAGGATGCCACTGCCCAGTGTCTCATTGCAAGGCCATTCTGTAGAGCCACAGGGGTAAGGCTGCCTCCTAAGGCTGTGGGGATGACCTGATGCCCAGTGGGACCAGAATGTAGAGTATTGAGCAAAAGAAGATGGTTTTTGAGCCTTGGCTTGCTAGTTTTGGACTTAATTGGGACCATCACTTCTTTCTTCTTTCTTACTTCCACTTTTTGGGATGGAAATGTCTTTCCTACCATTATATATTGAAAGCACAGAACTTGTCTGGTTTCACAGTTTCACTGCTGGAGAGGAATTTTGCCCCAGTATGACTCATATCTTGAATTTTACCATTACCTGATTTAGATAATATTTAGATGAGACTTTGGACTTGAAATGTGTGCTGGAATGAGTTAAGAGAATTTTGCCCCAGTATGACTCATATCTTGAATTTTACCATTACCTGATTTAGATAATATTTAGATGAGACTTTGGACTTGAAATGTGTGCTGGAATGAGTTAAGACTTTTGGGGATATTGGGATGGGTTGTATATTAGTCAAGGTTCTCCAGAGAAACAGAACCAATAAAATATGTATAGATATGTATAAGAGGAGATTTATTATGAAAACTGGCTCATGCAATTATGTAGCCTGAGAAGTCCCATAAGATGCCATCTGCAAACTGGAGAAACAGGAAAGCCAGTGGCATAATTCAGCCTAAGTCCAAAGTCCTGAGAAACAGGGAAGTCAGTGTTGTAACTCCCACTCCAAGCCTGAAGGCCTGAGAAACTGGAGGTTTGCTGGTATTGGTCCCACAGTCTGAGGGTTGGAGAACTAGGAGCTCCAATATTCAAGAGCAAAAAAAAAAAAAAAAAAAAAAAAAGAGAGAGAGATGGATATCCAAGCTCAAGAAAAGAGAGAATTCACTTTTTATCTGCTTTTATTTCTACTTGGACCCTCAAAAATTGGATGATCACCCCCCACATTGGTGAGGATAAATCTTCTTTACTCAGTCCACTGATTCAAATGCTAGTCTCTTCCAAAACACTCTCACAGACACAGCCAGAAATAGTGTTTTACCAGCTATTTCGGCATTCCTTAGCCTAGTCAAATTAGCACATAAAATTAACCTTCACAAGATGACTATATTGCATTAGAGAAGGACATAAATATTGCTGACCAGAGTAGAATGTCAGGGACTAAATTGTGTGGTGAAGTCTTAAAGCCCAATGTGACTGTTTTTGGAGATAGAATCTTTAAGGAGATAACTAAGGATAAATGGGGTAAAAAAATATGGGTTGCTAAATCCATAGGACTGGCACCCTTTATAGGAGAGGAAGAGATTCCAGAAGTATGTGAGCAGAGAGGAAAGACCACTTGACACCACAGTGAGAAACTGAGGGTGGAGATCTTCAACTATAATTGTAGATTCGTCTATTTATCTTTCCACTTCAGCCAGTTTGGGATTACATATTTTGAAGTTCTATTATTAGGTGTATTTATATTTAAAATTCTTGTATCTTCTGGATAAAGTGACCCCTTTATTATTATGTGGTATTCTTCTTTATCCCTGGTAACATTCTTTGTTCTGAAGTCAATTTTTCTTGATATTAATAGAGTCACACCAACTTCCTTACGTTTAACGTCTGCATCATTCAACCTTTTCTGTTCTGTAACTTTTAACGGAGCTATGTCTTTATATTCATAGTGAGTTTTTTATAGACAACATATAGATGGTTTTGTTCTTTCATCCCAATAGTCTCTGCCTTTAATTAGGGTGGCTATACTTATATTTACATGTATTATGGATTAAATATTGTTCTAAATGTTGACTTTACAACAAGAAAATGTAACAAATATGAAGTTAATTATAAAGTAAATATATACAAACAAAACCTCACTTTTATCTGTTGTGTCATCAGAGTTCTGAGTAAGGTCATTTTGAAGGCAAAAAAAGATTATCCTACTAAAATTATTTTCAAGCTGTAGATGATCATGCCTTGATTTGGTCAAAATGGATTAGTTTTGATTGATCCACATCAAGATGTCTTAGCATATCCCCAAATGAACTCTCTTTTCTGATTATAGATATGAGTCATTCTTTATTACCTACATTAATGGTACCACTATACATTTTGAGGGTTGATTCCACCATCCCGTGGCAATTCTACCATGATCATGTGCCCTTGAAACTTTAAATTTTGCTCAAGATAAAAAGCAAAAGAAAATGGGAACTTTTCTCTTAAACTTTGCTTCTCTCCAGAAGTTTGCAGTGGCTTAGCTACCTTATCAGTGCCAAAGCCTCCATTCTACTTCCCAGAATACAGAAATCATTCCCCATAAGGCTTTAAAGAGTACAGTCACATGGGTAAGCATAGGTCCAGAAGAAAAAAAAAAAAAAGGAGTAAAGTCACAAAGAGAAAAGCTGCTATTTACTAAAGTTTCAATTAATTCTCTTTATCTAAATACAAGTCTTTATCTTACCTCCCTTTCTTGAAAAGCACATTCATGTTGTATGTGAGACAGCTTTCTCTCTTCTCATTCATTTGGTACTTTTATGTGAAGAAATGCAGAGTGCTGATATTATCCAGAGAGTAACCCAATTGCCTTTAAAGAAAAGTATCTAAGAATCAGTTGCTGGGCTTCAAAGGAGAGATTATAAAAATACAAAGGATAACAAATTGAAGTAATAAACAATATTAAGTTTTAAGTATTTCACCATATATTGTAAGTAGGTGTTAGCTAGAAAATAACAGAGAGGTTGAGGAAGAATACTCTCTTCATTCTCTCTTAACTGAATGCATGTGACTTCATTTTTGAGATGCTGTGTTTGTACCTGGAAAATTCCATTAATTAGTTGTTTGTCTGAAAAGTTGAGAACTACAGTGGAGAATTTCTGTATACCAAATGCTCTGCTATATAGTTACAAAGAGAAAAATAATGTAAGAAAATACAGTACAAGGCCAGGTATGGTGGCTCATACATATAATTCCAGCAGTTTGGGCATCCGAGGAGGGATGATCACTTGAGGCCAGAAGTTGGAGACCAGTCTGAGCAACATAGCAAGTCCCCATATCTATAAAAACATTTTAAAATGAGCTGGGCATGGTGGCACTCTCCTGTAGTCCCAGCTACTCGGGAGGCTGAGGCCAGAAGTTTAAGGCTGCGGTGAGCTGATTGTGCCACTGCACTCCAGCCTGGGTGACAGAGACCCTCTCTCAAAAAAAAAAAAAAAAAAAGAGAAAAGGAATGAAAATAAATTTGAGAAGTGAAATCTTCACCATTTTAGAAACCTAATCTCACTTGTTAATAATGACTAAAATTAGAGAATCTAGCTTTTAAAAATGTGGATGGTAAATCACTTACACGTCTATACATTAAAGAAAAAGATGAACATGAATAAAGATATGCACCTAAATTTACAGAACTGAAAATATTTTCACACCTGTTGATTACTTTTTACTGAATGCGGGTCTAGAGTTCTTAATTTGCATAATTAATTATGTGGTTTTTAACTCATCCAAGATGCAACATATTTATTTGGACTTTAATAAAATAACAAATTTTTAATTTGAAGAGACCTTAGAAATTATCTAGTTTAGGACAAGGGAAGATGAAACACTTGCCCAACAGCTCACTGCTAATTAGTTTGCTGAATTGGGATTAAAACCCATGTCTAATGATTTGCAATAGTGATAATAATAAATTAGAATAGTAGATTGCATTACAATTAGAAAAACACTTCCAAACAAGCATCATTCTATCTAATGCACTTTCTACTACTTCTAACAGTTTCGTTTCTCCTATTCATTATAAGTAAACACTATGCTTGCATGCAAGGAATAAACTATTTCACTCTTCTTTTATTTGGCTGACTTTTTTTTTTTTTTTTTTTTGAGATGGGAGTCTTGCTCTGTCGCTCAAGCTGGAGTGCACTGGTGCGATCTCGGCTCACTGCAAGCTCTGCCTCCCGGGTTCACTTACCTGGCTGATTTTTATTGGACCTGGGTAGCTTATTTTTTTAAGATGTATGTTATTCTTCTACCTTAAGCAAGGTAACTTCCCTATGTGACAACCAACAGCATTCAGATTTATTGACCTTCACAAATGAGAACAATAGGGTGTTTTTTTGTAGGTGTCTTTTGTTTTTTTGTTTTTGTTTTTGTTTTTGAGACACGGTCTCGCTCTTTTTCCCAGGATGGAGTGCAATCACGCTATCAAGGCTCACTGCCGCTTTGACTTCCCTGGCTCAAGCAATTCTTCAGCCTTCTGGATGATTTTTTTTTTTTTTTTTTTTTTTTTTTTGTAGAGATTGGGTTTTGCCATGTTGCCCAAGCTGGTCTCAAAACTCCAGGGTTCAAGTGATCTGCTTACTTTGGCCTCCCAAAATCCTGGGATTACAGGCCTGAACCACTGCACCCAACAAAGAAAAATGAGCTTTTAATTCATATATTCTGCAATTGAAATGCTTCTTGATACATAGCATTGTCTCAAGATACATTGATACAATTCATTTGATCTAAGCTGGAATTCAACCACTCATTGTATAAAATTCCTCTGTTTGAATAGTTGTGTCTTACTCTTCTGTATTTATCAGAAGGGCATGAAATAAGTCTTTGAAATGTGTTCTAATATACTATTATACAATGACTAAAAATATAAAGCTAAATCCCTTTATTCTGTATCATGGTGAATTGGTCACTATTCTGCTTTCTCAAACATTTTCTTTCAAGCCTCTATTATATAAAAAGTTGATGGTAGTATCTCCAGAGAAAAAAGATACTTGCAAGTAGAGTTGAAGTTATAGTCAGAGTGGAAAGTATAATCAGTGGGGATTGGAGTATAAGAAAATGAAGGTGACTGCTGTTTTGAATAACAAATAGATTTGATGACACACAAACCCATCATTTTAATATTTTGGAAGAACTACCAAAGACAAATATCCTGAAAATACAAAAAAAAAATGCTACATTGTTAAATAGCACAATATTAAATTGTTTCATACAACATTTGTTTATATTTATAAGGAACAGTAAATTGTATCAGACTGTGTCTCAAAATTAGATTAATCTACAAATAAATTCAAGTTTTGCATGTAGATATAAAATGTAAATTTGATTTATAATAATGTTTGTCTATATTTACTTTTTTCTCCTTCACATTAAAATTGTGATTTTTAAAGTTTCTGTATTTACAGCATAAGCAGAATAATTCCATATATCAGGTATGATTTATTTTTCTTCCCCCATTGGGGAAATGAGCTAATTCCCAAGAATTATCAAGCATTATATATGGTTTCATTACCTTTGTTTATTCAGATACTATTCAATTGTCAACTTGATGGTGACTATAAGACACAAGCTAGCAAGAAGGTTTTTCATTTTGATACCAAGAAGTCATTAGGATTAGCAAGTTAATGTTTATCAAATTACTCTGAACACTCAAGTGTATGGTTCTGGATTAGTACAAAGGATTATCTGGTAAGCCAAATTAACAGAAGTGAACAGCATGGTAAAACAAGAATCATCTGCTTCTAGGAATTAAGTAATTATATATAATTAATGAAAAGGAATAATAATTAGTGAACACATAGTACTTATGCAATAATCAGTTAACACTTTAAAAATAATTAACTTTCCTAATGACCATTTTCAGCAAAATTAATGTAGTTTGCATGAGTAGTTGGTGACAACAAAAATACTAATAGCTCCTCGTTACATCACTGCCAGAGGGGGTGGAAAGAGTACATTGAGGGCAAGCCTTCATGTTTTTCACTAGTATACGCTTCATGGTTCTTTTGCTGAACAATAATTCCCCTTCAGGAAATTTAGCTTTGGTTGAATTTCAGTAATAAAAATATATGCATACATATTTATCATACATATATATGACATAAATACATACATATAATTACCATGTTTAAATGCCATTCATCACAGACTAATTTTTAAACTATTTCAGTATCATCTTTGACACTTTCTCTTTCCTTCTTATATTCAGTCACCAATTTGCACATTTTTTCCTCTCTAGACCAATTTTAATTTTTCCATTGCCTTGCTCTCATCACTAAGTATCTGCTCTCCTCTAAGTAGCTTGCTTCAATTTTTAAATGCTCTTATATTTCATCTTAAGCATAATTAAAAATACTTTTTTTCCTAAAACCTGATTTTAGAACTAGGTCCAAGCCTAGTCAAAAAATAACAAAGTTCCCATGAGCTAAGAGATGAAGACAAAACACATCAGGGTGATATTCCATCTGCTCAAAATCCAACCCATCTTCTTTCTCAGATTTTACTTCACATGTGTTTTAAAACTTCCTTGAATGAATGCAGTGGATACCCTATTTTCCCAAAGTTAATAATTCAGAAATCCAATGATAAGATGGTCAGATTCAAAATACTCTAAAATGCAAGCGATTGTAATAATCTTCCAATCTATGCTGAACTATCTCATTAAGATTAGTAGTCAGGTAAATAACTAGTTACTAATTAGCATCAGAAAGAGAACTAAGTCCTGGTCAAGAAAACAATGAGATAAATCTTCTCCCTGCTGTGACTACACCTGTTTCTAAGTGGTCTACAGTTATTGCCAACTCTGTCTAGGAGAGTGAGAATATCTGTATAAATTTTTCTTTCTTTCATCCTTGACTTTTAAACATTTGCCTCAGGATCACACCAATTGGGTGGCCCTGGACTTGGCCATCTTAGACTCCTACATATTGTTTTTGGCAGAACATCTGTTGGGAGTTTTTTGCAACAAGACATTTTGCTAGACTATAAAGGGGAAAAAAGACGTATGAGAGACTAACTCAGCCCACAATATTGTCTTAAAGGCTACTAGGGGTCATTGCTGTAATAAGAGGGAGATTACATTAAGAAGGGATGGGTCTCCTGAAAAACGTGAAAAGGACAAAGACAAGGAATTCATCTTCATGCAGTGTTAGATCCAGGGGGACCTCAGAGGTATTTAGTCCAAATGCCTTATCTTACAAACGAGCTCCAAAAATATTGAGTAACTCATATAATATTCTACAGAGAGCCAATGTATGTTCTATAATTAGACAACAATGAGTATTCTCACTACTAGCTGGTCCATAATTTTTCTACAACTCCATGCTTTCAGTCAGGGTTCTCCAAAATGGAGTACATGCATCCCAGGATGTAAGTAAGCCTAGGCACTGTACTGAGTGTAGAAAATATCAGCATCCCTAATTATCTGTCATTTTTATATTTAAAAAAAGAAAAAGAAATAAGTAATTAAGTTTTATAAGATTGTAATATACAGATTGACACTAGTGTACCCATTAGGGCAATATATATGTCATGTATTCATATAACCTACAGTGTTCAGGATGCCCTGAGGAAAGAGTGGAACATCTCCAATTAGAAGAAATGGGACAGAGGTCACTTCATTTGTGCATTTGCTCTCATCTTGTTGATGTCACAGTCAACATTTGCACCAAAAAATGGCTTTCTGGTTTTACAGTTTTAACTAACAAATGAATTTACAAATTGTATTATCCAGTTTCAACTAAAGCTCCATAAAATAGGCAAGTGGCTTACAATAGCTCTTCCAATTAAAGTAAGGAATGAAAATAACAAAAATAATGTAAGTACCAGTAAGCAAAAAGAATGCTAGGGTTTACATTATTATTAATTCTAGCATGAAAGTCTCCCTAGCCACACTGATTATTTACACACTGGCTACACTGGCCACACTTGATAAAATCAATGAAAGTCTAATAGGATTTGATAAGAAATCAACAACAAAAAAATGTATATGAAGACCATTAAAAATATGAACAGCTATCCACTGCTAGTAACAAAAAACCTCACCCTAAATGTATATTGTGCCTTGAGATACTGGTTCATAATAATGATATTTGTATATTATTGGCTGGTATAATAAAAAATACTTGGACACTCCTGCCTAAATGAAGGATCCAGATATCAAATAACAATAGGCAGAAAAAAAAAACTGGAGAAAAAAATGAATATCTCATCAATAGAAGAATGGATAAGCAAATTCTGGTATTTTATACAATAGAATAATAGTCTGCAATTAAAAAAAAAGTATTATGAATGCAATGAACATGAATAAACCTCCAAAACACTATTTTGAGAGAAAGAAGCTAAACCAAAAAAGAAAAAAAGATGTGATTTTGTTAGTTTGGATTTCAAGTTGAAATGTTATCATAATGGAATTCAGAATAATGGTTCCTAAAGGCAGGAAAACCACAGGAAAGGGGGCCTAAGAGGACTTTGCAGGATGATGAAAATGTCCTATGTCTTGTTTTAGGTATTGGTTACACACACACCAGCATTTATCAAAATTTATTAAATTGTATACATTTTAGGTCTGTATATTTCATTGTGTATAAAATTTACCTCAATAAAAAATGCTAAAAACATCTTTAAATAAATAATATGAGGTAGAATTTGTTGTACTTTTATCAGAGGTTCCCATGTTCTAGCTCCTTTTATATGTTACTGTAATTTCCATTCATATCGTCCTCCGAAGCAGTAAGCTTCTTGGAGGTGGATACTGTGACTTATTTGTTTCTGTTTTATTCTGCCTCCCACAAAATACCCATGACACTGGCTCAAGGCAGCTGTTGTTGAACAAATGAAAGAGGCACTAAATTTTTATGCACTCGTTGTTTAATATCCTTTTAATTAGTGAGCAGTTCACCACAATAACTCCAGGAGGAAACTTCTCATTGCTCCTAGAACAATAGTAAATAAATTTTTCCAGGTCTCTGAAAGCACCTTATGTTTTAAATCAGTCAGTTTGGGATCCCAATTCCAGATGGATGGGCTTATTCTTACCTGTGGGACCTTAAGTAATTCAATCTCTCTAGACCCATTTTCTCATCTATGTAAATGGAGATATTAAGACTCCACACAAAAGATATTGAGGATTATAAGTGATACAGAAAAGTACTATCTCCCAGCATGATGCATGTGACAAGCATACCATAAATGTTAGCCTTATTCCCACATCCTATAAACATGAGTGCATTTCTGCTGTAGTCATCAGAATAATACAGTTTACTATTTTTCTCAAAATTTAAACTGTATGCAGATGGCCAGAGAGGTTCAATAATTAACTTCCTGTTCCTGCATAATTTAGAGTTGCCCAGCCGCCTCTCCCCAGTCCTCTGTTTTTAATTTGGTGTGACTAGGTAAGTGGAAATGTTAAGCCCCACACCTTTTGTGGCTTGTGTGTCAAAACCCTCTTTTAAACCTGCTAGAAACTTCCTCCCAGAGCATACTGCAACGCTTTCAGGACGTGACGACTGAATCAGTCAGCTCTCTGTAGAATTTGGTTTTATGCAACTGCTGAAATAGCTAAGAAGCTTCTCCCTTTCCACTTACTGTTTTACTGCCTACCTTACCCAAAAATGTAGTGTGTCAGTGTTTCCTGCTAACTGCCTCATAACATATTCCATTAAAACAGCAAAAATTTCTGGGAGGAAAGCCAGCAGTTTACATTTGTTCTGTTCCCTATGAGTATCTTGTTAAAACAAAAAAAGGCAGTGTTTTTATTTATAGTAATAAAACTGAACTCTAAACTCAGAGAAGCTTTCTCTAGACTCACAATCCATGAGCTATCATCTGAAATTCACAAGTCTCTGAGAAGTCCTGGTTTCCATACTTCAGACATTTCACAGCTAAGTCTACCAATCACAGATATAATGAGCCCTGAAATTTTAGCTTTCGTAACACAATACCCATCTACTCCTTTATATAGACAATACACATAAATTTAATGTGTACAATTTCAAGAAAAAAAAGGTAGGAAATTGGAAACTAGTGTCTCGATAAGAAAATATTTCGATTTTAGTTCTTTAACATAAAACGATTTTCCCTAAATTATTCCATTCCCACCATATTTTCTAACTAATTTAAATAAGAAAACTAATTTAATTAAGTTAACTGATTTAAGAAAGATTAAGAAAGATGATCTTTACTTAATGGAAAATGGTATTTTTATTGGATGCTAAAGGGAAATCCATGTAATATCAGATGACTGCCAAGCTCATAGTATCCTCTGAAAGAAAGTGGCCAGAACTGGCCCTTTCCTGTGTATAATGCTTTCAAATGTATATTGAGTGAAACCAACTTCAGTCCTTTCCCCACAACTGAATGCAGTGATTATCAGTGCACTAGTCAAAAACAATCACATTGGAGAAGGAGAAAAGAGAGGCCAGTCATCTCGAAGAACTTTGGCCTGAAATTCTACTCAATAAAGTTGCTCCATATTGAAAGATGATAAACTAAACCAATCAAATTCTCTTATTACTAAAAAATATAAATGTTAAATGAAAAGATATCCTATTAGATCCTAGATAGTAGTTAATGGTTTCAAGTCTCCAAAAGGGATAGTATATCCCAATCTTGGAACTTTCACCCCTCTGTTTCTGTATAAACTTAATAAGCTCCCTTTCCACAGGTAATTCGTGTGTGTTTCTTTCCTGCATTATTAAAAAGCTTGACTAATAACAATACCAGTGCTGGGGATAATGTATTTATTTTTGTGTGTTTGAAATAATAATATTTTAAAATAAAGCCTTATCATTGACATCATAGATCATATTTCTTACTTGCAAATTCCATTACCATTGGGAACATGTTTAAAGGGAATACAATTTGAAGGAACAAAAGGAATTAATTTAGCCAACAGTTGTTTATGAACATTGTATAATTGATAGAAGAAAACTTATTGCAAATAAATAAATGACCTAACTGATTGTACTAAACTTCCATTTCCCTCAGGCTATGCATAGGTGTAAAGTAAAGCTTTTAAAATAAAAGGTTGGCAAATACCAAGTAGAAAACAAAATTACCCCCAATTCAAACCACAAACCAATTCCAATTATTACTAATGTTCTACCAGCAAAAGCAGATAACCAAAAATAAGAAAAGTGCAAATGCTATCCAGGCAAAAATAAATAAACACACCAATTTATAGCCAAACTTTGAAAACAGACTTTTAGACAGCTATATGAACTATAGCACAGATCATTCCAAGGCCTAAAATGGGTAGAATTAGATATAGAGGGGTTTTTATCTTAGCCTGGCTGATCATTATTTCTCTCATAATTTTACTTTCTCAATAATGTAAGCCCTAATGCAGTTTGCACAAATGTCATACTTTTCTATAATATATGCTACCCTCATATAATGTAATTATAATTCTATCTATAATGAAAAGATTAATGATTTTTTTACCTATAATTGGTTTTAGTAACAAGCCATGTTATCATTCTATTTCTGTTAAGGGCATATAGCTTCATACATTCCAGTTATTAGTGAACCTAAGCATTTTCTTGTGTTTTGGTCTTGCCTTTCTGATATTAGGCCTCATTTTCTTGCAGTGATTTGAAGACATGGTTCTGCTATGCTACTCCATCCATTAATACTTCACCTTCTTTATACCTGGCCTTGAAATGCTTAATGACATCTCTTTGTCGCTGTGTTAGTCCATTCAAACACTAATATAAAGAACTACCTGAGACTGTGAAATTTATGAAGAAAAGAGGTTTAGTTGACTCAGAGTTCCACAGGCTTAACAGGAAGCACGACTGGGAGGCCTCAGGAAACTTAAAATCATGGTGGAAGGTGAAAGGGAAGCAAGGACCTTCTTCACATGGTGGCAGGAGAAAGAGAGAAAGAAGGGGGAAGTGCCACATGCTTTTAAACCATTGGCTGTCATAAGAACTGGCTCACTATCATGAGAACAGTATGGAGGAAACCCTCCCCCATGATCCATTCACCTCCCACCAGGCCCCTCCTCCAATTCAACATGAGATTTGGGTGGGGGAAACCCTCCCCCATGATCCATTCACCTCCCACTAGGCCCCTCCTCCAATTCGACATGAGATTTGGGTAGGGACACAAATCCAAGCCATATCAGTCCCACACTTTTCTTGCCCGGTGACTCCCAACCAGACTTTTTAGTTAACATGCAGCCCTCCCCTTTTAGTCCTACTTCCTTCCCTATCTTCAATCACTGCCAGTCTTTTTCTACTTTTGATTATTCTAACCCCTTGTGATATATTTGTTAAGTTTTGGATTGAAATGGTTGGATTGATTTTGTGGTATTGGTCTATTCAAGTAACTAGCTAAACTTAAGTGTCAGAAAAGATCCAAATTTATCAGAAGTGTAGCAGAAGACAAATGTCAAAATCTAACTTCTAAAGAGAATATTGTATTTAAACAGTAGCAGCTTTACTTAAGGTGAACATTATGAATTAAACTATTCAAAGGCACCAACCTAGAATGTGGCCTACTATTAGATTGCAAATTTAAAAGCAAGTCTGTAGAAAATTCAGCCCACCTCTTCCCAAACTGGCAGAACAAATTTTGGATGATCATAATTATTCTTCAACAACCCACCACTTTTTATCAGAAAGCAATTTAATTCAATTAGACTCATCAAACATTTACTGGTGTTCTATTAGTGCTAGTCGTTTGTGCTAAATATTGTGAGAGAGCAATAATTTCAATGTAAATAGTGTTCTTCCCTGCACAAAAGGAGACAACTTGTGCAAGCCTGCAACTTGACCCTAGATACAAAGCAGTCTAGTGACTCTGCAAATGTAAATTACACGATTCTTTCATGAAGCAGCAGACACTAGATTTTAAATCTACATAATGAAAGGTTTTGTATAAATATATCCTGAAAGTTTCCTGAACTCCTTGGTGGTGAGGGATAAGAGAAGTCTAACTTCAAAGCACTGTATAAAGGAGGAACCTAGTAGTCCTTGTATCTCACACACATCATCTAAGAAAGAGGGTGTCTTTTGTAACACAAAGGCCATGAAACAAGTTAAAACAAAATTTAAGAAGTTTCATCCTGAAATTCAGAGTTAAAGATGCACTGTGCTGGGCACGGTGGCTCATGCCTGTAATCCCAGCACTTTGGGAGGCCGAAACAGGTAGATCACCTGAGGTCAGGAGTTCGAGACCAGCCTGGCCAATGTGGTGAAGCCCCGTTTCTACTAAAAATGCAAAAATTAGCCTGGTGTGGGGGTGCACGCCTGTAATCTCAGCTACTTGGGAGGCTGAGGCAGGAGACTTGCTTGAACCCGAGAGGCAGAGGTGCCAAGATTGCACCATTGCACTCCAGCCTGAGCAATAGAGTGAGACTCCATCTCAAAAAAAAAAAAAAAAAAATGCACTGGCATTTTATCATCCAAATGCAACACTTCAGCATCATCAATAAGATTCTTTTTATTGTGTATACCTTAAATATACATAATTGTAAAAAAGAAAAGGAAAATCTTCTGACTACCTGATAGTTTCATTTTCCTTGTATCATTAGGTTCTTAGATCCTTTTATGTAATAACACTGCTTTACATAAAACTCTAGAGCTCTGCAGAAGTGCAATTTTTCAGCATTTTCTGCTGTAACTTCTATTAATCTAAGCAAAATAATACATTTAGTTGATCCCTTTTGGGCTTGCATCTCATTAGAAAAATGTAAAATTTTTCTGTAAAATGTAAAAAAATAGCCTCTCTCAAAAAATAAATATTTTTATTTGAACCAAAATTACATTTCTTAAGTATGTTTCAAATAATTATTTCAAAGCTCCTTAGCAACTCAAAATGCCAAAAGGAAATACTTTTCTGTTTGCTATAAGGGCCCCTATCTAAAAAAACAAAGGGCTATCAACTCAGCAACATCTTATACCAACCTATTCTAAATAGTTTGAAAATACACTGGTACAATTTGAAGTGGAATGCATGACTCTTCTTAATAAATTAATGATTTTATCTACAGTACTGGCAAATAAAAAGGGTATATATAAACCAGGATAATATTTCATTCACTGGAATAACTCATTAGAATAGAACTGAGAAAAAAAGAAAAGAACCAACACAGAAAAAAACAAAGGGAATATAACAATGAAATTTAAGATTTGTGAAAGAGTTTTATTTCTATTTAGAAGAAAAAAAGTGAATACAGACTTCAGGGGTATAACCTCATCAAATAAATTAAATTTGACTAAAGCATGAAAAATGAACTAATAAAACATGAAAGGAAGAGATAGTAGATGACAAAAATACTTTTGCCTAAAATTCTTATTTTCCCTTTGATACAAACCCCATTGCTCCATTGTATGTCTGTTTAGTTTTGTTATTCCTATCTAGGAGTAAGAAGTCAAATGAACCAGGGAAAAAAAATGTACCAAAAACCTTCTCCTTAGCCAAAATTTAAGGAGGAAATTTACAGGATCTGGGGAATTGTGGGGAGGAATACATGAACAGAATGGTAGCTGGATTCAAAAAGGCCCAGTCGGCCTTTTTGATCATCTCCAGTAATGACTAATATCAGTTACTGCTGGGCCTGCAAAGCTTCTAGACCTGCTGGGTAGCCATCTGAGTATTGAACTAAATGACCTTACATGATTTTCAAATACCGTAGTAGATCAATTGTGTTTTAGCATTTTGCACAGCTGGTTATTTGGTTAAATGTGGGCAATTCCCCAAAGCCCTCATTCTATTTTGGAATGTATCTATTCATTTAAAATACACTGCAATGTGTTGCCTTGGATAGTGTGTTTGTACCATGGGGATTAGTTCAGCAACGCTGTGCTCCCACAAACAAAACATCCCTCCTGGAGAGATGGTTTCATTGGTCAAGCCATAAGTGCATACTATCTGATAACAGTTATTTTTAAACTGAGAAGCTATTAAGATTAGCCAAAGAATAAAAAGCTTTTGAAAAAGGAAAAAGAAAAAAAAGACCAGATGGCAAAAGTAACCACAAAATAATGTATGATCCAAAATAAAATCTGTCAACGTTGCCTGAGTTTTAATGCAATTTAAAAACAACTGAGTCACAAAATGCCAGAAAAATTGTCCACACATTCTAAAATAATTCAGCAGGCCAAATTATAAGACTTGCTACCAATGAGCATTCATTTATGGCATTTCAAGTTTATCAGAGAGCTTTCATGGTTTTTTTTTAGGTTAAAAATGTATATTATTTATTCCTATTATGTGGGAATTTCTTCCTAGCATTCAGAGAAGAAAACAGAAACCAATCTGTTCTTCCTCCCTTAGAAAGGAAAAGCAATGAGATTAAATCTTTTTAATCCAATGAGCCCTCCATTGCTGCTCCTAACAATAGGCCTGAAGACTTTTCTGCTGCTGTTATTCAAGAGCTTGCTCCCTGGTCCCAGTTTATAATTTTTCCCCCAAGGTAATGGTTGTAAAGTCTTCTTCCTATCTTGCTTTAGCTTCGGAGCATTTGTTTGGAGATAAATGACTGAATAGTGCATTTGTTTAGTTATTCTTAAAGATACACTAGACGATGTTCATACCCAATCTGTCAGTGTCTCCCTCTGTGAATGGGAGTAATTTAAGTATCTATTTTTTTAAGAAATAAGAGCTAATGCAGGTAATGTACATGACACAGCACTTGACAGTTAGAACATGTTCCATGGCTGTTTTAGCTTATTATCAAATTCCCTCCTAAAATACAAAGAGGCACTTGAAACATCTTCAAAGAAATTTGTAGCTTGATATCTAAAGTCAAGAAGAGAAAAACTAAAAGAGAAGATAGAAAAACACCAAAGGTAAAAGACACTTTCATTTACTTTACTTTCCTTTAATTCATGGCACCATATCTGCTTCACGTTCTACCCAGGTGTTAAAAGAATGAAATTTAGTTGCTTCTTCATTCCATCTTTTTTTTTCCTTTGCAGAACATTCCATCTATTTCAAGTACAGATTACAAAAATATCCAGTTTCTGAACATAATGGTTAACACTATGATATTTTTATTTGTTTGTGTTTTGAAAACCTAACATAAATAGAAAGTACAAAGAAGGATTGGGAGGTGGTAGTCAAGAGTAGGCTTCAAGTAATAAAAATCCTTACATAATTGACAAAATTGTCCCTAAAATAACTCCAAAAAGCAATCTAAAATGGATAAAAATATGTGCATACCTGAGTCTTTTATAGATTAGGTGCTTCAAAATTAATTTATTCTTTAAAAAGTGATTTAAAATGAAGATGTATATGGTTGCATGAGTATGATGTTAAGAAAAATACAAGTCAAAGAAGCTCTCCCTAGAATTGTCTCATTATTATTGTTCTTCCAGTTTCCTAGGAAGGTCTCAAACTTAAAGTTTTGTTTCCTTTGCAAAGAAGCAAGGAAGAAATAAATAGATAACAGAGAAGCTGGAACCAACCCCAAGGGGTTAATGAGGGTGTTAGAGATGGAAGGTAGACAGGGCTAGGTAGTCGCTACAGCTGGGGATAATTAATAGCAATCAAGGGCCACTATAAACAAATCTGCAGGAAGTATGGAGGATCTGCATTTTCCTGGCTTGGTAGCAGGAGCCATCTGGACAGAGGGAATTTGGCTTAATATCCTCATCAGGGAACTCGGGTTTTTTTTTTTTTTTTTTTTTTTTTAACCACTCCAGTATAGTAGGTCACTGAAGTAAACAAATTGAGCATGGTTATGCTATAACAGATTAAATTACTATCACAAATATAAAATCCACAATGGATTATGACTAACACAGCAATATAGGAATAATTTTACGGCTAGGAAAAAGTGGACACAGTTTTAAGAGCAATCGGGGAAAATTAAACAAAGGAGAGAAAAGAGGGAAAAAGTTATTGGTTTATTATATATATATATATATATATATATATATATATATATATATATATATATTTTATTCTCCAGAGTTTTTTTAAAAAAGAAATCATTGGTTGTTTAATAGCATTCGAGTCAGCAGAACTGGCGACTGTGACCAAATCTGTTGGAAAAGACCATGTAGGCAGTCCTGCATTCGGGAGCGGCTAACGAAGATGAAAAGCAAGGATAATCTAGGGAAGCAGAAGCTGAAAGGCCAAACGGTGGGTTTTTGCAAGACCGTTTCTTCTGACTCTACACTCACAGCTCTCCATCATTTCTACGCTGCTTCCAAACGTTTGCTACACTCACACCAGACACTAAATCTTTTAGTATTTTTTTTTCCAGCTTGGCATTTGCTTTACTGCTATATGGCTCCCTCTGTTCCTATCTATAGCTGGTAACATCTCGCTGTCAGGGGGACAGATAGGCTGATCTCCAGGATCCAAGGAGATTCTCCATCTATGAATCGCAGTCTCCCTTAACTTATTTTCTCCCTTTTCGTATTGTCTATTCTTTAGAAGGGTGACTCTTTCAAACACTGAATCTACTTAAAACGTTGACTTCAGAATTTGGATAAATTAATTCAAGAACTAATGCAAATTCAAGACCCTAACTTTACTATGACTTGAAGTTATCTATTTCTGATGACTATGAAAGACTGGATGTTAAAAAGTTGCTATGAGATACATTCACTATCAGTATCAGTTGGCTAATTCGATCCTAAGGGACATTCCAAAGATGTTGGAATACCTCATGGAGTTGAGCTCAAATCGCCAAAAATGGCTATTAGGTCTAGCATTCAAGTTAAGGCCTCAGTGCACAGTAATATGTTGCGTACTTAAGAGTTAAGTTTAGGTGTCCTACCATTTAGCAGCTGCCTAACTAGGAAAGATGCATAACCCCTCTGAGATTCAATTTTCTCACTTGCAAAATAGAAAAAATAGTACCTACCTCACGGTTTGGAGGATTTAGTGTGTTAACATGTGCAAAGTCCTTAGCATGGTGCACAGTTTAAGGAACAAGCTCAAAAAGAAAAAGTCAGTTTGGGCCGGGCGCAGCGGCTCACGCCTGTAATCCCAGCACTTTGGGAGGCCGGGGCAGGTGGGTCCCCTGATGTCAGGACTTTGAGACCAACCTGGCTAACATAGTGAAACCTCATCTATACGAAAAATACAAAAAATTAGTCAGGCGTGGTGGTGGGCACCTGTAATCCCAGCTACTCGGGAGGCTGAGGCAGGAGAATCCCTTGAACCCGGAAGGCAGAGGTTACGGTGAGCCCGGATCGTGCCACTGCACCCCAGCCTGGGCGACAGAGTGAGACTCCATCTCAAAAAAAAAAAAAAAGAAAAAGTCAATTTGTATTATTTCTAGTAATTGCTTTTGAAAAATGTTATGACTTCCCTCCATTTTAGGCAGACTCACATTTGACTTGTACCCAATTGTGAAATTATAAATATTTTGCTGTGAATCATTCTACCTCTACTTTGTGATTATTTTTTGTCAAGTGCATTATGTGCACACGATTCCCATCAAATAAAGGTGAAATTAATTTCTGGGTTTTTTTCTCTCCTGGGCAGCAATTATAATTTACTTGGAATATGGTTTATTGTAAGTCATCAAATACATTTCCCAATAGTGCCATTGCATACCACCTATCTAAATATTTTTCTGCTGATTTATTTATCTATTCCTCAGAACAAAAATAAAGAAAGCCAAAAAAAGAAAGCCATATGACAAATAATATAATTTTCTTATCCAAGTTTCTTACAAGCTAATACATGTACATTTTAATATATTGACCCTCAATTTACAGTGATGATTTCAAATACCATAGAGGTTCTAACTAATTGTATGCCTTCCAAAAATTCTTAGTTTAGCCTTACACAGGAGAAATTTACATTCAGCATAGACTACACTCAAAGAAGGAAAAATTTAGCCATTTGTTCAGACATGACAATCATTCTTTTTTCAATCATTAAATTAGCCAACATTTACAGAATAGTTAGATGTGCCAACACACTACTAGGCAGTATGAATATGATAGCACACAATACCTTGCTCTCATGGAGCTTAAATTATGGTGTGGAAGATAGAAAACTAATTACTCAATCACATATGTGATGTGTTAGATTGTAAACAGCTCTAAGGAGAAAAAGATAAAGTTAAGGAGGGAGGACATGAAGTGTGAAGATGGAAGATTGAGATGTTAATGTTGACTGGGGTGACTCAATGTGAAGGTGAGTTTTGGTGAAAAACCTGAAAGCACAAAGGAGCTTACTCTACTGAGAGCCAAGGGAGAGGATGAAGAGAAGTACAAAGAGATGAGAGAAAAGTACTAGGAGACAGAGCATTTAGAGCCTTTTCTTTGTATCTCCTTTGAATCAGAAATAAATATTGTCTAGAAAATAATGCATAGTTTAATTGCCCTACAAAATATGGACTCCAGATTAGGATACCCTAAATAGGATATTTCAAAGAAAGAAATAGACTTTCGGCTAGTCATACCAAAACTCTGTATTAGCATGTACGTTATCTAAAGTGGGTCTTTTATAAACATCATCTTTGATTTAATTTAAGGCTGAAGAAACATATTAAAGAAAATATGATCATTGAATCTTCTTTCCTTATTTCCTAAGACAAATCACAGTGTTAATCATCTGGTAATTCACCTTCAGTTTAAAATTATGGTAGAGGTCAAGAGGATTCGTAACAAAGGACTGGCCTCAAGCACCGCCAACGTAAAAGAACAGTTTACATCCCATGGTTAAAGAGTCTAAATCTGTAATACTCAGTGAAAACTCCTTCAGAAACTCCCTGAATTCACTATAGGTAAAAATCATTAAAAGCAGGGCATAGACAGGTCTATAAAAGAATCTAATACTTTTACAACTTCAAGACCAAAAAAAAAAAAAAAACTGTTCAACTGAGACATGAGGATTTTTAATGAAGAAAAGGTTTTAGTACTGAACCACCATTTAAAAAGTAGAGAACTAAGAAGATTCCAATTCAACTGACATCAATTAAGCAAGTGAAGAGACCTATGCTAGACACATAGAAAGGAAGCGATGTTACCATCTAACTGGGAAGACAGGTGTTCTTAATAACAACAAAGAAACACTAAATTTGATAACCAAAATAAAACCAAAAGTTTCAGGATCATTTTTACGACTTCAAGTATAAATCTACTAGATAAAATAGAAATCTTCAACTAGTGTATGTGAAACATTTACAACTTCTTTTTTTTATTTTCTATTTTATTTTATTTTATTTATTATTATTATACTTTAAGTTTTAGGGTACATGTACACAATGTCCAGGTTAGTTACATATGTATACATGTGCCATGCTGGTGCTCTGCACCCACTAACTCATCATCTAGCATTAGGTATATCTCCCAGTGCTATCCCTCCCCCCTCCCCCCACCCCACAATAGTCCTCAGAGTGTGATGTTCCCTTTCCTGTGTCCATGTGTTCTCATTGTTCAATTCCCACCGATGAGTGAGAATATGCGGTGTTTGGTTTTTTGTTCTTGTGATAGTTTACTGAGAATGATGATTTCCAATTTCATCCATGTCCCTACAAAGGACATGAACTCATCATTTTTTATGGCTACATAGTATTCCATGGTGTATATGTGCCACATTTTCTTAATCCAGTCTATCATTGTTGGACATTTGGGTGTTTCCAAGTCTTTTCTATTGTGAATAATGCCGCAGTAAACATACTTGTGCATGTGTCTTTATAGCAGCATGATTTATAGTCCTTTGGGTATATACCCAGTAATGGGATGGCTGGGTCAAATGGTATTTCTAGTTCTAGATCCCTGAGGAATCGCCACACTGACTTCCACAATGGTTGAACTAGTTTACAGTCCCACCAACAGTGTCAAAGTGTTCCTATTTCTCCACATCCTCTCCAGCACCTGTTGTTTCCTGACTTTTTAATGATTGCCATTCTAACTGGTGTGAGATGGTATCTCATTGTGGTTTTGATTTGCATTTCTCTGATGGCCAGTGATGGTGAGCATTTTTTCATGTGTTTTTTGGCTGCATAAATGTCTTCTTTTGAGAAGTGTCTTTTCATGTCCTTTGCCCACTTTTTGATGGGGTTGTTTGTTTTTTTCTTGTAAATTTGTTGGAGTTCATTGTAGATTCTGGATATTAGCCCTTTGTCAGATGAGTAGATTGTGAAAATTTTCTCCCATTTTGTAGGTTGCCTGTTCACTCTGATGGTAGTTTCTTTTGCTGTACAGAAGCTCTTTAGTTTCATTAGATCCCATTTGTCAATTTTGTCTTTTGTTGCCATTGCTTTTGGTGTTTTAGACATGAAGTCCTTGCACATGCCTATGTCCTGAATGGTAATGCCTAGGTTTTCTTCTAGGGTTTTTTATGGTTTTAGGTCTAACGTTTAAGTCTTTAATCCATCTTGAATTGATTTTTGTATAAGGTGTAAGGAAGGGATCCAGTTTCAGCTTTCTACATATGGCTAGCCAGTTTTCCCAGCACCATTTATTAAATAGGGAATCCTTTCCCCATTGCTTGTTTTTCTCAGGTTTGTCAAAGCTCAGATACTTTTAGATATGTGGCGTTATTTCTGAAGGCTCTGTTCTGTTCCATTGATCTATATCTCTGTTTTGGTACCAGTACCATGCTGTTTTGGTTACTGTAGCCTTGTAGTATAGTTTGAAGTCAGGTAGTTTGATGCCTCCAGCTTTGTTCTTTTGGCTTAGGATTGACTTGGTGATGAGGGCTCTTTTTTGGTTCCATATGAACTTTAAAGTAGTTTTTTCCAATTCTGTGAAGAAAGTCATTGGTAGCTTGATGGGGATGGCATTGAATCTGTAAATTACCTTGGGCAGTATGACCATTTTCACAATATTGATTCTTCCTACCCATGAACATGGAATGTTCTTCCATTTGTTTGTATCCTCTTTTATTTCCTTAAGCAGTGGTTTGTAGTTCTCCTTAAAGAGGTCCCTCATGTCCTTTGTAAGTTGAATTCCTAGGTATTTTATTCTCTTTGAAGCAATTGTGAATGGGAGTTCACTCATGATTTGGCTCTCTGTTTGTCTGTTGTTGGTGTATAAGAATGCTTGTGATTTTTGTACATTGATTTTGTATCCTGAGACTTTGCTGAAGTTGCTTATCAGCTTAAGGAGATTTGGGGCTGAGACAATGGGGTTTTCTAGATATACCATCATGTAGTCTGCAAACAGGGACAATCTGACTTCCTCTTTTCCTAATTGAATACCCTTTATTTCCTTCTCCTTCCTAATTGCCCTAGCCAGAACTTCCAACACTATGTTGAATAGGAGTGGTGAGAGAGGGCATCCCTGTCTTGTGCCAGTTTTCAAAGGGAATGCTTCCAGTTTTTGCCCATTCAGTATGATATTGGCTGTGGGTTTGTCATAGATAGCTCTTTATTATTTTGAGATACGTCCCATCAATACCTAATTTATTGAGAGTTTTTTGCATGAAGGGTTGTTGAATTTTGTCAAAGGCCTTTTCTACAACTTCTTCATCTAAGCAGTATGATTATTTTTACCATGAAGAAGAAAGCTATTGTTTAGCTATTTCTCTATTTTGTAGCCATTTTGAGATACACTCTTCCCACATCTGATTGCTTTGCACCTCAAAGAAAACTCTACCAGTAAAAATATGGTTATTTTGACTTGAGAATAATTATACTGACCTCTGAAAAGGAAAAAATGTATAAGAATAGATTGGAGAATTTCTCTTCTTCTGACTAGGAAGACAAATCTTTTAAAGATGGAAGTAGAACACAATGTGGTTTCTATTATGCTGACCCTTCCATTTTACGTGGATGAAAGGGCCACTTGATACACAAAAAATATCTTGACAACACCCATCACCTCTAATCCTACTCCCCTTTTCCTGATTGACTCCCATCAGGATTAATATCTACCTGAGCTAATCAACCCAGATCAGCTGACAGTTTACTGCAAGTCAAACCGAACAGAAATTTATCAATCTGGTCAATGGTGGCAAAATCTAGAAATGTTAGTCTCTTCTTGCAGTTCCTGCCTGTGCTTTAAGTTAAAGAGCCCTACTACTACACCTACTACCACCATCACACCAGAGCCTTCTCACCTATCGCCCATCACTACCAGCCACGTGTTGCCAATATTTCATCCAGATCTCAAGGTCCCTGAGGTTCTTACTATAATTTAAGGTTAGATGGGAAAAAGAGAGAGAAGCAATTAGCAAAATAGCATCATTAGTCCCAGCAGAACCTTAGCTGGGGTCTCTGATTGCTGCCAGTCATCTTCACCTGGTGAGTGAATTATCCTACAACCTTTAACAAGACTCACCTTGAGTAGTTATGCGTATCAAAATAGGTATAATTTGGCCACATTTCTATTTGGATATCACTTTTTACTGCCAGCCCTTCCCCTATTAGCTAAAGTTTTCTAGGTTTTGTGTAACTTACAGGTCTTTCCCTTTTGCTCATTTCTTCTCCACTCCACCACACACAGTGCAGAAGCAGTTCTCAACATGTTTCTTCAACTAGGTGCCAAGGTATAATATGTTGGTGCCAAAGCGATTGTGGTTTTTGCCTTTACATTTAATGACAAAAAACACAATCGCTTTTGCACCAGCTAATATATGGAGGTTATGAAATAATCCTTTGCTAAAGTGCCAAATTCTCCCTTCACAATGAAATACTATTGTTTCCCACTATTAAAGTTGTTTGTCCAACTTGATAAGGCTCATCTTAAGCAATTTAGAAAAATAGAAATAAAGTTATATTCATTTGCACTTGCTTCTAAACTTCTGAAACTGGCATACAATATCAATCAAATGGGGAATCCAGAAGTACAATATAATCTATGTATCAGTCTTAAAAAGTACTCTCAAATTTAGGACACTGTTAATTTTTGACAGATGGACTTGCTATGCTAAAATTAATGGGTATTTTATACAAAATAAATTATGATTCAATTATTGAAATATATTTCCGCAGAAAAAGCAGACTTTTTATAATTTATCAAATCATGCCACACTTATTAGGAGATTATAACTTGTCTTCAAGTATTCACTCAACAAAACAACACAAATGTGGACAGAGGCCACAAAAATGTTTAGGCCTCACACTATGGAGTATGAGTTTCCTATAGTTAATTTTTGATGAATACTTGTCCTTATCTATCATATGTGTATCATATAATATGTATATATGTACATATAATATATACCCCTATACTTACATAGGTGCTTCCGCCGTCACTCAACACTCATTCTCTCTCCTGCCACCTTGTGAAGAGGTGCCTTCCACTATGATTGTAAGTTTCCTGAGGCCTCCCCAGCCATGCAGAACTGTGAGTCAATTAAACTTATGTTCTTTATAAATATATATGTGTATATATATGTATGCCTATATATACATTATATATATTCATATTCATACATTACATATATATTCTATTGACAAAATCTATTGTTTCTACATACATATTCTACCTCAGTAACTGCTTTGTACAAAACTTCTTCTCACTACCAAAGCCACAGTTAATCCTTTCTCTTCTTTACCCCATGACTCACTTGACTTTAACTCTAAGTCTTAAAATAGCTTTCCATAACATTTCTGATTAAGTCTAAAACCTATTTTGTGTATGTCCCATTTGAGTTTACAATGATCTCTCCCTAGGTTTCAATGCCTGTTCCACTTTTTTCACTCTTTTCCAAAAGTTCTCCTCAGCAGCCTACAATATCAACCTCTCCTGTCTTCCTCATTCCTCCTTGAAGCTTTCATAGTTAATAGAAAGAATTATTTTCCTCTCTCTAACCCTCCCTCCCAACCACAGCATGAAATCCCTTTGTTTCTCTTCTATCCTGTTCTCAAGGTTATGAACTAAATCCAGCCTTTTGCACATGTCATCAATTTTAAGTGCTTTTCTAATTTATTATTTTTAAATAGAGTTAAAGCTTGCACATTTTACATGTGTCAACTTATTTAATCTTTGCAAACACTCTATAAGGTAAGTGCATTGTGAGTCCCATTTCTCAGGGAAGGAAACTGAGGTGCACATTGTTTAATTGCTAAAGGTTGCACATTAGTGACTGGAAGAACTAGAATTTGAATAGAGACACTATGACTCCAGAGTTCATGCTCTTAGCCAGTACATTAAACTGCTCCTTTGTACTCAATATTTGTCCTTTTATTTACATTTTTAAGGGCCTCACATCTGTGTTGTCTGCTCTAGTATACTAAAAATTCTATTGTTACAAAGACAATGCCAGGTTAATTCAAAGTATATTTGAATTTTTTAACTTTTATTAATCATTAGAAGTTGATACATTCAGGGACTAACTAAATTGGACAGTGTCATATAAACTGCTAATACATCAGGGAAAAAAGACAAGGAAGAGAAGAGAGAAATATGATGAAGCCATATAAATAATATATTTGCTGAGATTTTTCTTCAAGAAATTAATCATCTGCTTTCAAAGTTGCCTACTGCCTCATACCATTGCTGAAAGATTAATATTCTAGTACCTTCAAATGGATCACTTACTTTGTCAGAGGTATTTGTGGGTTTTGGGTGTTTTTAAAAAATCAATATAGTGCCCTAAATTTAAAAAGTGTGTTGCTGTTTACAGTATGCTTATACAGACATTATTGCGCTAAACTATATCAGCAATGACTTCTTCCTTCTTCCTGACATAGAGTAAGTAAAAGTGACATAAACATGAGACTGAATTTCTTAGCAAAACTTTCATTTTTAGAAAATGAAAGCAATTCCTCATGATATATACACATCGTCCTTTTAATAAGAACTAGAATTCTATCTTAACCAGTAAAATTTATGTTACCCTTTCAGGAGCATTAATTTTGTGTCACTTTCTACTAAATAGTAATCAAAATAAAGAAATGAAAGGTTCAAAAGCCAACATCCATCCCCACACAGAATGGTAAGTGATATGGTTTGGCTGTGTCCCCAATCAAATCTCACCTTGAATTGTAATAATCCCCATGTGTCAAGGGCGGGAGCAGATGGAGATAATGGAATCATGGAAGCGTTTTCCCACATGCTGTTCTGGTGATAGTGAGTGAGATCTCACAAGATCGGATAGTTTTAAAAAGGACCTCCCCCCTCGCTCAGCACTCATTCTCTCTTCTGCCACCCTGTAAAGAGGTGCCTTCCACCATGATTGTAAGTTTCCTGATGCCTCCCCAGCCATGTGGAACTGTGAGTCAATTAAACCTCTTTTGTTTATAAATTACGCAGTCTTGGGTATTTCTTCATAGCAATGTGAGAATGGACTAATATGGTAAGTCATGTGCTATTCTATTTTAATAATGATCTATCTTATGTAAAGATATGTGTGTCTAAATTACCCCAAATTAAGAACTAAAACCATCTCTCTCCTTCTCTGTCTCTTTCTTTCTGCAACATACACCCAAAGAGAATAACAATACAAAAGTGAAATAAGCCATGAACAAAAAGTTAAACATTGCATGTTCTCGCTAATATGTGGAAGCTGAAAAAAAAAAAGTTGATTTTGTAGAAGTGAAAACTAGAACAGAAGATACTGCAGGCTGGGAAGGGTAGAGGGAAGGGAAGGATAGGGAGAGATTTGTTAAAGGATACAAAATTACAGCTAGATAGGAGGAATAAGTTCCAATGCTCTATGCCAGCAGTCCCCAAACTTTTTGGCACCAGGGACAGGACAATTTTTCCACAGATTGGTGGTGGGGGAGATGGTTTCAGGATGAGACTGGCCCACCTCAGATCATCAGGCATTAGAGTCTCATAAGGAGCATGCAACCTATATCCCTTGCATGCATGGTTCACAATAGGGTTCTCGGGTTCACAATAGGGTTCTCTCTCCTATGAGAATCTAATGCCACCACTAATCTGACAGGAGGCTGAGCTCAAGTGATAATGCTCGCTCAACTGCCGCTCACCTCCTGCTGCGCAGCCCAGTTCCTAACAGGATATGGACCAGTACCTGTCTGTGGCCCGGGGGTTGGGGACGCCTGCTCTATGCCATTGTCAGATGACTGTAGTTAACAATAATACATAATTTCAAATAGCTAAAAAGAGGATATTGAACATTCTCAACACAAATAAATGTTTTACATGGGTATGTTAATTACCCTGATCTGATCACTATACATTATATGCATTGAAACATCACTAGGTACCACATGAGTATGTACAATTATTAGTTGTCAATTTAAAAAATTAAATTTAAAAGGAATCATTTTATTAATGTATAAAGTTCTGTGAATTTATTGATAAATTAATAGCTAATGAAAATAAGTAGATGGCCTGCGTCCATTATTATTTGCTCCTATTTAAGAAAAAATATGTTAGGTTTAACAAACGATTGCAGATAAATTAATTGGGAAAATCAATTTACTTTGTAGGTATTGTACCTTCTTGGATTCCTATTATTTGGGGAGAAATTTTATATTTTTTTCTTTATATTTGATACTTTAAAGACACTGTTTCACTGAGTTCGGAACAAAAGCAATAACTTAGATTTCTGCTTCTCAGCAAATAAACAGCAGATGAAGTTAAGAGCTTGATTAAGGAAAAGATTACCAGTGCTATTCTTTATTCTGCAACCAATAATTTTACAATTAACAGGAAATAGGCCAGCTGTTTCTCCAGTATAGACGTTTTCATAGGAATTCTTGTGATGTGATTGCCAAGAATAGATTTCTATGTCTGCCTAATGTACACTGAAGAAATGGTACATTTTCAAAGTAAACCAATCAATTTCTTCAGAGGCTCTCTTTTATAAGGACAAAACAAAATATTCAACCAAGGATTCTAAGGCACTTAAAGAATGTTTCAAAGTGTAAATTACAAAAACCCATAATGTAAATAAGCACCAAGTGCCATCTCAAAACTGAAAAAATGTTGTTGTTTTTTTTTTTCTGAGTTTGAGACTAAATCATTAGATAGAATACATACCAAGCTTTATGTTTGTGAGTTTTTCTTTTACAGGATGGGAATTACTCAGCAAATTTTTACCACCCAGCAACACAAATAGCTCACAATTAAGTGTAAGACAAATCCATATTGTAGAATCAATCATTGTTGTATAGAAAGCTCAAGTAAAACTAAGATCATGTTAATTCAGAATTTCAGTCAGATTGATGTTCGAAGTCTACAATGCTATCACTGTAGTTGTTCTTCAACTGTTCCTTTGTTTTTGTTTTTGTTTTGTTTTGTTTTGTTTTATTCCCCCAAATCAGACCCTCATACTGGCAAGTTGAATTAAAAACTTGGCATACAGACATCTGTAAATGATTCTGTACCCAATGGCTATGACCAGACTCCAAATTTAATTATGTGTAAAATGATAAATAAAACAGAAAAAGTGCCAAACTTAATTAACATGGTGAACATTAAGTGGATTTAGTGGATATTATATTTTAAAGATTCCAAAATTTAATAGGCGCTTAAAGCAAATGCAGTATTTTCCTTTGCATCACACACACTAGTCATGAACTGCAGCATGCAACAATTGATTTAAAACATTTTCAAAACTGTGAGTATGTTTTTCCCCACATAAATTCATCATTGATGACACCATATGGCTCCATTAATGAAGAAGCTAGGCCATGCCAGGCTATTAACATGAATCGAGAAGATAGTTCCTTGTCACCAACCAGAGCCTGCTCATTTTTTGTTCCTCTGGGCTTAACACAAAAACCTTTTCTCATCATTCAGATTTTTTTTCTAGTTTGAGATATTTTCCAGGATTCCATTTTTGTTTAAATGATTGAGGAGTGGTGAGTTATGTCCTGGCCTTTTGGTTAGCAATCTCCTTTCATGTCTGCGTAGATCACTGATAGGAAATTAGCAATGATCACAAATGCCAGTTTTCTTCAAGTTGTGAGTCAATTGCAGGAAAAGCATGCATTCACCCACATCAGCTAATATTTGCAAGGTAGTGGTGGCTAATAGCAACGAGCACAAGCTCTGGAGCAGAGTACCTGAGATCAAGTCAGTCCCTGTTTTGTCACCATCACTTTTGCCAACTTAACCTTTCTGCATCTCTCTTGCCTCAATTGCTAAAGGAGGATGAGTATAAGGTTATTATTAAGATTAAATAAGTTAATATGTATAACTTAAAATATATGCTAGTTATGATTATTATATTTCATAATTTATAGTTATTCAGAGGATATTTTGATCATTTAACACTATAACTGTTTCCTCTATTACCAATGGCAAACATATCTGATTTATGTATGCTACTGGTTATTAAAATTGGCTGCACATTGGCATCACCTGGACACACTTTAGAAATATTCATAACTGGTGTAGGCTGCAATGCAGTCACGGGTTTTTCAAAGCTTCTGATATTTTGAATGTGTAGCCAAGCTTAAGAACCACTGATCTATGTCCCTTCTTACCTAGATGGATTACCTCTAGAAAACAGAGTCAGAGTGAGATTGCAGGTAGTTTATGCTAATTTCCAAAGTCCTCTATGACCTATGACTGTTGTCTCAGTTCATTCCTACTGCTAGAAGAAAATACCACGACTGGGTTCTTTATAAACAACAGAAATTTGTTTCTCACAGTTCTCGAGTCTGGGAAGTCCAAGATCAAGACACTAGCAAATTGGGTGTCTGGTGAAGGCTAGCTCTCTGCTTCCAAGATGGTGCCTTGTTGCTGTGTCCTCACATGGTAGAAGGCAGAGGGGCAAAAGGAGGGCCTATATAGTCTCCTTCAGCCCTTTTATAAGGGGATGAATCCCATGTATAAAGGTCGACCTCCTCAGGATCTAACCACCACCAAAGACCCCACCTTCTTTGGGGTTTAAGTTCCAACATATGAATTTTGGAGAGACACAGACATTCAAACCATAGTAACTGTTGTCCTTAGTCTTTAGTGTGCTTAGGAATTACAGGGAGGACTTGTTAAAACAAAGATTGCAAGCCGCAGCCACAGTTTCTGAATTAGTAGGTCTAGAATAAAGCCCAAAGATTGCCATTTCTAACAAGTTCCAATGGAATATTCATATCACTGGTCTGGATGACCAGAAGTGGAGACAGATGGGCCCACAGTAACCACCATACTGTCCATATCTTTAGTATGGCCTGTATTAGTCAGAGCTCTCCAGAGAAAGAGAGTCAACAGAATATATGTAGATTACATAGAGAGATAAACAGATCTATTTATAGATAAATCAATATAGACCTATATCTTTCTATAGATATATTAATATAGATCTATATCGCTATATATTCTGTATATCTATATAATATATAGATAGATCTATATAATATGTGTGTATATGTATTATATACATATATATATAGAGAGAGAGAGAGAGAAAGGGAGAGAGGAGAGAGATTTATTTTAAGGAATTGGTTCACATGGTTATAGTGGCTTGATAAGTCCAAAATTTGCAGGGTAGGCCACAGTCTGGAGACCCTTGGAAGAACTGCAGTTCAAGATCAAAGGCAGTCTGCTGGCAGAATACCTTCTTGCTTATGAGAGGTCAATCTTTGTTCTATGAAGGTCTTCAACTGATTGAATGAGACCCACATGCATTATGGAGGGCAATCTGCTTTACTCAGAGTCAACCAATTTAAATGTTAATCTCTTCCAAAAAACACATTCACAGCAACATCCAGAATAATGTTTAACCAAATATCTAGGCATCAAGACCTGGCCAAGTTAACACATAAAATTAGCCATCACATAGCCTCATCTGTACACAGTGTTGAATCCAATATAAAAAAGAAATAACATTTTTTCTCCAAATCTCTTTGTTATTATAAATTACTATTGAAAAGTTAAGATTAATTGATGTTGGTAGAAACAATAAGAAAAACTGAATGCTCCAAAGTGATTGAGTTTGGCCATAGTCAGTGACAAAGTTGTTATTGTATTTAGTGACCCAACAGGAACAGTTTTCTAAATAAAATTTTGAGGTACTGATGAAAAAATAGATGAAGGATTGACTCTAAGTACAATTAATGAAGCTGACATTTCCTTTTTCTAGCAATTCATCTCCATAGGTGATAGGACACCAGTACTATTTAAGCCTTCTAGGTTTCCCCATTGTCCTCATCAAAACATATCTGTCTTGTATTCTGATTACAAAGGTTCTTCATCTCAGCTGTACATTTAATAACTAATTAAACTAAAGTGTTAATATGTCAAGAGGTGCAGAGATAATTCGCTGACATTGACTGATGGTTATGGAACTTTATAAACCAACGTCTTCCCAACATGATTTTTCCAAAGAGCTGCAAATGGACAACACAACCAAGCACGTGAAGAACTTATTTCCTCACACTGGGGTTGCTTGCAGTGCTTAGAATTGGTAGGAGAGCTTTTTCAAAACATATGCTGTGTCACTATGCACACAGGATGTATTAATATTCCCAGTGATCGGATTTTCCAGATAATTTAAATAAAACCCCTTCCCCTCCTACCGGTGATTCTCAGTCCTGATTGCATATTAAAATTGCCTTGTGGGATTTTATTTTGTACAGATGCCAGGGCTCCTCCTAATCCAATTAAGTAAGAACCTCTATGACAGCTGCTGAGTCCATGTGTTTTAAATGTTCCCCAGGTCATCCTAATGTGCACCCAAGGTCAAGAACCACTGCCTCATATGGGAAAAAAGCATAAATCATAAGGTCACTGAGTTTGGGAGGAAAATGGAATACACAATTTAACAGAAAATAAATAGAATATTTACCGTATCAGTTTTACAATATGTAGTTAGAAACTTTACACTTTTACCCAACTGAAGTTAGAAACAGCCTAATATAAGAGGAGGCTTTGAGAAAACACAAATCAGTAGATCCCGCCAAGTGCTTTTTAACTTTTCTCAGCTTTACAATTGACATTCACTGAAATAAGGCTTATTTCTTCAGTGATACTACAAGTATGCAGTATAGCAGGTTCTCAGGCATAACAATAATGTTTTTAAACAAAATAATGATTAAAAATAGAGTTCTTTCTTTTATTGGGCTTTTTGTTTGCTATTCTGGAAATGTTGAAAGAAAAATGCCCTGCAACCATTCTGAAGTTTTCTTGTAACATTTGATCAACTAGAGCAGGGACTATGTCCTAAAGTAACTGTGGAATCTGCATAGTTCTAGCCTAGAACGGAGCTCAGTGTTTATTGATTGGCTGATGGAGGATGAATTGCTTTAACCTAAGTGTTTATTTCCATTTCTAAGATATTTAAATTATATATATTTTAAATAAATAAATTTAAATAAGATACATATATATTTAAATACTTTGATTTTAGAAAAGCAATATAAATCTTCAGAAAACATTTACTTATAATGCCAAGTGTTTGTCAGTCTCAAAGAGGTAAATCTGAAAGAGAACAAAGAACTAACACATACAGATTAAAAAACATTATGGAATTGTTATTCCCAAAATATTTCAGATTTTAGATTTATGAAAATTTTACATATCTAGAAAAAAAACATTATAGCTGTTACAAATCCTTATTCAAAAGAGGCACTCTACTAATAAACAAAATAATGCAAGGTTGAAATTGTGAGTAGAGCAGGCATTTATCTACATGGTCAGATTACGGAGGTAACTGCCATAATACCATACCCCCTAATCCCATCAATTATGACCGAAATGCCACCAGTGCTGCTAAGCATGACTTTAACATTCATTACTTGCAGAAAATACTCCTGAGAAAACTAGCAGTTCCAGTGAGTTAAAGGAATTTTAACAGGCTATGGCCTGAAAGCAGTTGGTATGAAGAACAAGACAGGGGACTTCAGGATGCATCAAAGTTCATCTTTGCCCACTTTTCCAAAATTGAAATTGAAATTATGAGACTCATACCCTCTCAGAATCAGTCTGTCCATCTGAAAAGATGCAAATAATATTATAACAATCTGGAAAGTGAACTACTTACAAGTAGATGTAGTTAAACATAATTTTTATAGCTGAAAAGTTCATAATCAAATATATTTTTTACACAACTTTAAATGTAGAAATGGAAAAGTCAAAGTTTGAATTTTGTCAAACTTTGAAGTGTACTCCATAGAATTTGAAGGAAGACATTGGGGTAATCAACGTGTTAACCAAAATAAGAAAATTAAAGACTTTACCAGAATGCTATGGGCTAGTCTATAGTAAACATGAGAATCACATTTAAAATATTTCAATATACTTTAAGATAACATGGATCTTTAACATGCGACTTCTAAGTTAGTAATATTGGTGATGTCTTTAATGGTCTATTTCCTTGTATTCTTTTTATTTAACTTTTCAGTAATGTTTTATTTTGTTTGCAATTGTGCCATAACTAAAATAATATGCAGCCAGATTAGTAAATAGAAAAAACAAATGATATTGTAAACATAATGTAATATTAATATTATGTATATTATAAATATGCCATTTTATTATAAGTATGCATAAGTAATTACATGTAATAATAATATTATTGGTATTATATATGTGATTAGATAGAATATAAATAATAGTATATATAATTAAAATGCAAAATATAAGTATTTAAATGCATAAAATTAAAGCATTTTACCATATTATATGTATGTATTATTCATAACAAGTTTTTATATTAATATTCTAATAATTCTACCCTGAACTTCTTTATTTTTTATTTTTTATTTTTTATTTTTTATTTTTAATGTTTATTTTTTTTTATTATACTCTAAGTTTTAGGGTACATGTGCACATTGTGCAGGTTAGTTACATATGTATACATGTGCCATGCTGGTGCGCTGCACCCACTAACGTGTCATCTAGCATTAGGTATATCTCCCAATGCTATCCCTCCCCCCTCCCCCGACCCCACCACCGTCCCCAGAGTGTGATATTCCCCTTCCTGTGTCCATGTGATCTCATTGTTCAATTCCCACCTATGAGTGAGAATATGCAGTGTTTGGTTTTTTGTTCTTGCGATAGTTTACTGAGAATGATGGTTTCCAATTTCATCCATGTCCCTACAAAGGACATGAACTCATCATTTTTTATGGCTGCATAGTATTCCATGGTGTATATGTGCCACATTTTCTTAATCCAGTCTATCATTGTTGGACATTTGGGTTGGTTCCAAGTCTTTGCTATTGTGAATAGTGCCGCAATAAACATACATGTGCATGTGTCTTTATAGCAGCATGATTTATAGTCCTTTGGGTATATACCCAGTAATGGGATGGCTGGGTCAAATGGTATTTCTAGTTCTAGATCCCTGAGGAATTGCCACACTGACTTCCACAATGGTTGAACTAGTTTACAGTCCCACCAACAGTGTCAAAGTGTTCCTATTTCTCCACATCCTCTCCAGCACCTGTTGTTTCCTGACTTTTTAATGATTGCCATTCTAACTGGTGTGAGATGATATCTCATAGTGGTTTTGATTTGCATTTCTCTGATGGCCAGTGATGATGAGCATTTCTTCATGTGTTTTTTGGCTGCATAAATGTCTTCTTTTGAGAAGTGTCTGTTCATGTCCTTCGCCCACTTTTTGATGGGGTTGTTTGTTTTTTTCTTGTAAATTTGTTTGAGTTCATTGTAGATTCTGGATATTAGCCCTTTGTCAGATGAGTAGGTTGCGAAAATTTTCTCCCATGTTGTAGGTTGCCTGTTCACTCTGATGGTAGTTTCTTTTGCTGTGCAGAAGCTCTTTAGTTTAATTAGATCCCATTTGTCAATTTTGGCTTTTGTTGCCATTGCTTTTGGTGTTTTGGACATGAAGTCCTTGCCCACGCCTATGTCCTGAATGGTAATGCCTAGGTTTTCTTCTAGGGTTTTTATGGTTTTAGGTCTAACGTTTAAATCTTTAATCCATCTTGAATTGATTTTTGTATAAGGTGTAAGGAAGGGATCCAGTTTCAGCTTTCTACATATGGCTAGCCTGTTTTCCCAGCACCATTTATTAAATAGGGAATCCTTTCCCCATTGCTTGTTTTTCTCAGGTTTGTCAAAGATCAGATAGTTGTAGATATGCGGCATTATTTCTGAGGGCTCTGTTCTGTTCCATTGATCTATATCTCTGTTTTGGTACCAGTACCATGCTGTTTTGGTTACTGTAGCCTTGTAGCATAGTTTGAAATCAGGTAGTGTGATGCCTCCAGCTTTGTTCTTTTGGCTTAGGATTGACTTGGCGATGCGGGCTCTTTTTTGGTTCCATATAAACTTTAAAGTAGTTTTTTCCAATTCTGTGAAGAAAGTCATTGGTAGCTTGATGGGGATGGCATTGAATCTGTAAATTACCTTGGGCAGTATGGCCATTTTCACGATATTGATTCTTCCTACCCATGAGTATGGAATGTTCTTCCATTTGTTTGTGTCCTCTTTTATTTCCTTGAGCAGTGGTTTGTAGTTCTCCTTGAAGAGGTCCTTCACATCCCTTGTAAGTTGGATTCCTAGGTATTTTATTCTCTTTGAAGCAATTGTGAATGGGAGTTCACTCATGATTTGGCTCTCTGTTTGTCTGTTGTTGGTGTATAAGAATGCTTGTGATTTTTGTACATTGATTTTGTATCCTGAGACTTTGCTGAAGTTGCTTATCAGCTTAAGGAGATTTTGGGCTGAGACAATGGGGTTTTCTAGATAAACAATCATGTCGTCTGCAAACAGGGACAATTTGACTTCCTCTTTTCCTAATTGAATACCCTTTATTTCCTCCTCCTGCCTGATTGCCCTGGCCAGAACTTCCAACACTATGTTGAATAGGAGCGGTGAGAGAGGGCATCCCTGTCTTGTGCCAGTTTTCAAAGGGAATGCTTCCAGTTTTTGCCCATTCAGTATGATATTGGCTGTGGGTTTGTCATAGATAGCTCTTATTATTTTGAAATACGTCCCATGAATACCTAATTTATTGAGAGTTTTTAGCATGAAGGGTTTTTGAATTTTGTCAAAGGCTTTTTCTGCATCTATTGAGATTGTCATGTGGTTTTTGTCTTTGGCTCTGTTTATATGCTGGATTACATTTATTGATTTGCGTATATTGAACCAGCCTTGCATCCCAGGGATGAAGCCCACTTGATCATGGTGGATAAGCTTTTTGATGTGCTGCTGGATTCAGTTTGCCATTATTTTATTGAGGATTTTTGCATCAATGTTCATCAAGGATATTGGTCTAAAATTCTCTTTTTTGGTTGTGTCTCTGCCCGGCTTTGGTATCAGAATGATGCTGGCCTCATAAAATGAGTTAGGGAGGATTCCCTCTTTTTCTATTGATTGGAATAGTTTCAGAAGGAATGGTACCAGTTCCTCCTTGTACCTCTGGTAGAATTTGGCTGTGAATCCATCTGGTCCTGGACTCTTTTTGGTTGGTAAACTATTGATTATTGCCACAATTTCAGATCCTGTTATTGGTCTATTCAGAGATTCAACTTCTTCCTGGTTTAGTCTTGGGAGAGTGTATGTGTCGAGGAATGTATCCATTTCTTCTAGATTTTCTAGTTTATTTGCGTAGAGGTGTTTGTAGTATTCTCTGATGGTAGTTTGTATTTCTGTGGGATCGGTGGTGATATCCCCTTTATCATTTTTTATTGCGTCTATTTGATTCTTCTCTCTTTTCTTCTTTATTAGTCTTGCTAGCGGTCTATCAATTTTGTTGATCTTTTCAAAAAACCAGCTCCTGGATTCATTGATTTTTTGAAGGGTTTTTTGTGTTTCTATTTCCTTCAGTTCTGCTCTGATTTTAGTTATTTCTTGCCTTCTGCTAGCTTTTGAATGTGTTTGCTCTTGCTTTTCTAGTTCTTTTAATTGTGATGTTAGGGTGTCAATTTTGGATCTTTCCTGCTTTCTCTTGTAGGCATTTAGTGCTATAAATTTCCCTCTACAAACTGCTTTGAATGCGTCCCAGAGATTCTGGTATGTGGTGTCTTTGTTCTCGTTGGTTTCAAAGAACATCTTTATTTCTGCCTTCATTTCGTTATGTACCCAGTAGTCCTTCAGGAGCAGGTTGTTCAGTTTCCATGTAGTTGAGCGGCTTTGAGTGAGATTCTTAATCCTGAGTTCTAGGTTGATTGCACTGTGGTCTGAGAGATAGTTTGTTATAATTTCTGTTCTTTTACATTTGCTGAGGAGAGCTTTACTTCCAACTATGTGGTCAATTTTGGAATAGGTGTGGTGTGGTGCTGAAAAAAATGTATATTCTGTTGATTTGGGGTGGAGAGTTCTGTAGATGTCTATTAGGTCCGCTTGGTGCAGAGCTGAGTTCAATTCCTGGGTATCCTTGTTGACTTTCTGTCTCATGGATCTGTCTAATGTTGACAGTGGGGTGTTAAAGTCTCCCATTATTAATGTGTGGGAGTCTAAGTCTCTTTGTAGGTCACTCAGGACTTGCTTTATGAATCTGGGTGCTCCTGTATTGGGTGCATAAATATTTTGGATAGTTAGCTCCTCTTGTTGAATTGATCCCTTTACCATTATGTAATGGCCTTCTTTGTCTCTTTTGATCTTTGTTGGTTTAAAGTCTGTTTTATCAGAGACTAGGATTGCAACCCCTGGCTTTTTTTGTTTTCCATTGGCTTGGTAGATCTTCCTCCATCCTTTTATTTTGAGCCTATGTGTGTCTCTGCACGTGAGATGGGTTTCCTGAATACAGCACACTGATGGGTCTTGACTCTTTATCCAACTTGCCAGTCTGTGTCTTTTAATTGCAGAATTTAGTCCATTTATATTTAAAGTTAATATTGTTATGTGTGAATTTGATCCTGTCATTATGATGTTAGCTGGTGATTTTGCTCATTAGTTGATGCAGTTTATTCCTAGTCTCGATGGTCTTTACATTTTGGCATGATTTTGCAGCGGCTGGTACCGGTTGTTCCTTTCCATGTTTAGCGCTTCCTTCAGGAGCTCTTTTAGGGCAGGCCTGGTGGTGACAAAATCTCTCAGCATTTGCTTGTCTATAAAGTATTTTATTTCTCCTTCACTTATGAAGCTTAGTTTGGCTGGATATGAAATTCTGGTTTGAAAATTCTTTTCTTTAAGAATGTTGAATATTGGCCCCCACTCTCTTCTGGCTTGTAGGGTTTCTGCCGAGAGATCCACTGTTAGTCTGATGGGCTTTCCTTTGAGGGTAACCCGACCTTTCTCTCTGGCTGCCCTTAACATTTTTTCCTTCATTTCTACTTTGGTGAATCTGACAATTATGTGTCTTGGAGTTGCTCTTCTCGAGGAGTATCTTTGTGGCGTTCTCTGTATTTCCTGAATCTGAACGTTGGCCTGCCTTGCTAGATTGGGGAAGTTCTCCTGGATAATATCCTGCAGAGTGTTTTCCAACTTGGTTCCATTCTCCACATCACTTTCAGGTACACCAATCAGATGTACATTTGGTCTTTTCACATAGTCCCATATTTCTTGGAGGCTTTGCTCATTTCTTTTTATTCTTTTTTCTCTAAACTTCCCTTCTCGCTTCATTTCATTCATTTCATCTTCCATTGCTGATACCCTTTCTTCCAGTTGATCGCATCGGCTCCTGAGGCTTCTGCATTCTTCACGTAGTTCTCGAGCCTTGGTTTTCAGCTCCATCAGCTCCTTTAAGCACTTCTCTGTATTGGTTATTCTAGTTATACATTCTTCTAAATTTTTTTCAAAGTTTTCAACTTCTTTGCCTTTGGTTTGAATGTCCTCCCGTAGCTCAGAGTAATTTGATCGTCTGAAGCCTTCTTCTCTCAGCTCGTCAAAATCATTCTCCATCCAGCTTTGTTCTGTTGCTGGTGAGGAACTGCGTTCCTTTGGAGGAGGAGAGGCGCTCTGCGTTTTAGAGTTTCCAGTTTTTCTGTTCTGTTTTTTCCCCATCTTTGTGGTTTTATCTACTTTTGGTCTTTGATGATGGTGATGTACAGATGGGTTTTCGGTGTAGATGTCCTTTCTGGTTGTTAGTTTTCCTTCTAACAGACAGGACCCTCAGCTGCAGGTCTGTTGGAATACCCTGCCGTGTGAGGTGTCAGTGTGCCCCTGCTGGGGGTGCCTCCCAGTTAGGCTGCTCGGGGGTCAGGGGTCAGGGACCCACTTGAGGAGGCAGTCTGCCCGTTCTCAGATCTCCAGCTGCGTGCTGGGAGAACCACTGCTCTCTTCAAAGCTGTCAGACAGGGACACTTAAGTCTGCAGAGGTTACTGCTGTCTTTTTGTTTGTCTGTGCCCTGCCCCCAGAGGTGGAGCCTACAGAGGCAGGCAGGCCTCCTTGAGCTGTGGTGGGCTCCACCCAGTTCGAGCTTCCTGGCTGCTTTGTTTACCTAAGCAAGCCTGGGCAATGGCAGGCGCCCCTCCCCCAGCCTCGTTGCCACCTTGCAGTTTGATCTCAGACTGCTGTGCTAGCAATCAGCGAGATTCCGTGGGCGTAGGACCCTCTGAGCCAGGTGTGGGATATAGTCTCGTGGTGCGCCGTTTCTTAAGCCGGTCTGAAAAGCGCAATATTCGGGTGGGAGTGACCCGATTTTCCAGGTGCGTCCGTCACCCCTTTCTTTGACTCGGAAAGGGAACTCCCTGACCCCTTGCACTTCCCAGGTGAGGCAATGCCTCGCCCTGCTTTGGCTCGCGCACGGTGCGCACACACACTGGCCTGCGCCCACTGTCTGGCACTCCCTAGTGAGATGAACCCGGTACCTCAGATGGAAATGCAGAAATCACCCATCTTCTGCGTCGCTCACGCTGGGAGCTGTAGACCGGAGCTGTTCCTATTCGGCCATCTTGGCTCCTCCACCGAAGACCTACCCTGAACTTCTAATACAAGTTTTTTTCATTTAAAAAGTGGTTAAGAAGCACTATGTTCAAACATTTAAGTTCACATAAATCTCTTTAGAAGTGAAATTAAAGTTTAAATAGAATAGTTCAGATTTTGTATTTTACAGATATATACCAAAATGGTTTTTGTAGAATATGTAAATTCGTTTAAACACAATTAAAACCAATAAATGAAACATAATTTATTATGAGTTTAATGATCACTTTCAATTTTTAAATCTCTGCTACTATATTCACAATCTCGGTCAGTGAAAGTACATACAGCTCTCCATTTGGAAATTGTGTATGAAACTGTTTCTCACTTGTTTAATAGCCTTTAATGTGCTGTTCATTTTCTGCCTAGCGTTGGCCTTGTTATCAACAAGTTTCTAAAATCTCAAAGATACCTTTGAAAAGATGAGAAACACCACTACACAGACAAATTTTAGAGTATCAATCTTGTTACACTTTGGAGGCACAAAAGGGGAAGAGAGGTTGTTAAACTAGTACATAAATTAAATGATTAGTTTTATATTAAAATAAATACTGATACCATGGAAATAAGAATAATTCCCCAGAATTTTCATGATTAAACAGGAACATCAAACATATTTAATACAGCTGCTTCCAGCTATACTCCAGCCACTTAGGATACATGTCCACTTTTCTCTGTTTCAAAGGGTACTTGAGAAGTGTGGCTGTGTTCCCCTCCTCTTGTTCATTGAACTGTCATTTACATGTTACCTTGCATTATACACTGAAAATGTGTTTCTTATGATTAAATTCACCGAGTGACAAGCACTTCTTCCAAACCCAGCATTTTAAAATGTATACATTCAAAAGGATACTCAACAAGACACTGTCACTGTGAAAAGAAGGCAAACATAGTAATTTTTATAGTTTATGGACTCAGTACACATATAGGACAGATGCACATGAAAATAATGCATTTTAATAAACTTCACAATCATTCCCACAAGCAATAGATAATTGCCAAGTATGTATGGGATGGGACACAGGCTGGGGCATTAGAGTAAAGAGTACACACTACCTTAAGGTGGGAGACTAACTTGTGCTCTTAAAAGAATTAGAGAGGAAGGGGACAGGCTTCTCCATTTGGAACACCTTGAGTAAAATCATATTGTTGCCAATCATCAGAGTCTGAGAAACATTATAAGAGCAGAAATTATGGATCATCAAAGATTGGACAAGAGTGAAGATGAAAACAAAAGATTATTTCTAAGTTCTAAAACTGAGAGACCAGGAGACCAAAGGTAAGAAAAGTTGGAGGGGAAATCTCAGGAGGGAAAAGCCTAAAGTTTAGGTTTGAATGTGTTGAATTTTTTTATTATTTTTGATAGCCAGAAGAAAATGAAGAATGGTATTATAACTTGATCAACATGAGAATAAGGACAGAAGATCACTGCCACCATTTCTGCTACTGGGAAAAACGCAATAGCTAAAATACTTAATTGTTTTGACTATAGCCTCTCTTCTTTCAATACGAAACACAGAGCAATGGATGGTCTCAATGAAAGTTTCGGTAGAATACCCTAGGCCTCCTCAATTTCAGCATCTCCAGGGAATGGAGTTGAACTCAGTGGCACTGAACGAAGCCTCCTTCCAAGATTTTTCTTATAGGCTCATTTTCTCTCACTCACCACAAGGTTTTCTCTTTCAAGAGTCTTGTAATTCAAGAACATACACTTTGCTCCAAAGATGAGAGGCCTAAAACTTCAAAATGAAGAGGAACATGATCACACTTCTGTCTTTGCACTGCCTGAAAAAATGGCCTGATACAAGCTCCCTACCAAGAGATACGCAAAATCATAAGAGTTTCCTGCATTTGGCAACCTGATATCTTTCAGAAATGTAGAGTATTGTGGATAAAAACCATGCCCATGTGATTCAGGCTCAGCTCAGCCTTGTGTGGTCAGAGAAACACAAACAGTAACCAGAAGTAATTAAGACATTCAAATCATTTAAACATGTCCTTTTCAAAATGGCAACAGAATGGAAAAATACTTTAAAAACCATAGATCATCTCACGTTCTATTCTCTCCACCTGCCTTAGTCCGTTTTGTGCTGCTATAAAACAACGCCACAGACTGGATAATTTATAAATAGAAATTTATTGGCTCACAGTTCTGAAAATCTGAGAAATCTAAGTTATGTTAATGGCAGGTTCCATGTCTGGTGAGCTCATTCTCTTCTTCCAAGATGGCGTCTTTCATGCTGCATCCTCCAGAGGGAAAAAAGAAGGAATCCTCACAAGGCAAAAGTTAGAAGACTCTAGACCGTGAGAGAGAGCAAGATGGGGCCAAACTCGCCCTTTTATAATGACACCAATGGCACCCATGACAATGGAGGCATCACATCCTAATGCTACCCATGAGAGTGGAGCCCTCACACCCTAATCTCTTCTAGAAGCTTCCACCTCTTAATTCTGTTACAATGACAATTAAATTTTAACATGAATTTCAAATGATAGCACTCTCTGTAACTCATTGATCCCCACAAGGGTAGCAGCAGTTCCTCTCTGATACTCTTTTTTTTGAGACGGAGTCTTGCGCTGTCGCCGAGGCTGGAGTGCAGTGGCATCATCTCGGCTCACTGCAACCTCCGCCTCCCGGGTTCAAGCCATTCTTCTGCCTCAACCTCCCGAGTAAATGGGACTACAGGCGCCCGGCACCACGCCCGCCCAATTTTTTTTTTTTTTTTTGGATTTTTAGTAGAAACGGGGTTTCACCGTGTTAGCCAGGATAATCTCAATCTCCTGACCTCGTGATCCGCCCACCTCAACCTCCCAAAGTGCTGGGATTACAGGGGGCCCGCGGCCGGCCCCCTCCCTGCTACTCCTAGCCCCCAACCAAGCACTCTTCTCAGCCCGAACACCCCATGTGGGCTTTTGCCTTTCCTTCCTCTCTTATTTTCCTTCAATCCCATTATTTTTCTCTCATCCCGAAGTAAATACCCTACTTTTTCCTTTTCAGGTTGTTTTTATTCATTGGCCCAAATTAGCATGAATGTAATATAGGAATGGAAAGAATTCTCCTTAGCAGTTAGAGGCAAGCAGAAAAGAAGGGACAAGCATGTACACATTAAATTTTTTTATTCCCATCGCATGTAAATGCTTAGTTTCAAAACAATTTACTGTCATTATGTTTTATTTTGTTCTGAAACTCCAAGCTCTTTAAAAGACAATTCGAATTCTTATGATGTCTCAGGATCATTCTTTTTTAGGATCCCTTGGGATCTTGAATCAGTGGGAAACTGAATAAAACTCTCCACCGTTACGTGAAACCACAGAGATCTCAAGAGTTCTCTAAGGTTGGACGTGCCAAATTCTTTGATACTTCCCCGGCCCCTTAGAAGAAATGCTGGGACACAGTGCAATGCCAGGTGCTCAGGGGTCTGTGGCCCCCTGCATTGCCACTCAGAAGGCAAGCGTGAAATTCTGTCTGCTTCGAGAATGCATAAGCTGACATTTCCAGATTACCTCTTTTTCTCACACAAACTTTGTTTTTGTACTGTTTTGCTTTTAATGGGTAAGGAGACGTTTGATCATGATTAATCCAAATTTGTAAAATTTGTTAAGTGTTAGAATACTACCAAGAAAGGGCAACCCTATAAAAATATAGATTACACTACTTTTTTTCTAAAATGTTCAATAAATTTTAGGTTATTGGTAATTGAACATCAAGCTAACCATAGATTTTCGTATCATTTACTAGTTTCAATTATGTGAAGTTTAATAATATGAAAATGACAATGTGTTTTTAAAAAGTTCAAGATATCCTTTGGTACATAATGGAACTTTAATAAATATTCATAAATGAATCATTCTTCAAGAGACTACATTATTGGAAGAGGTTGCAGCTAATATTCCCTTTACTGGAAAACTAAAACACTGCCTTTTTGAAAAACAAAGATTTGCTTACAAATTTACTCTTTAGAAAAAGTCGAATTTCAGGTAGTTTATTTGAATAATGTTCCCTATGATAATAGTTGCACACATTTTAATAACTGCTATAAATGTATTAGGGAGTACCATACAGGATAGTTAGTTCAGAGGAATGGGGATTGTAACTATAGTAGAACACATTCTTTCTTTTCAGCCATCAACCTGTCTAGCACTACTTCAATTATGTGATGTGCAACTCTTCGTTATATCTACTTAACTGTTTATTCAGCTAAGTAAAGAGACATCAACCTAAGTAGCACAAAGTGGCTTCAGATTTTACCCAAGTGCTCGATTGCTTTAAAGACATTATTGAATTCTAACTACATGGTGGATAACACTTACATGAAATAAATGAAAATCATTCCGAATGAATGAATTCCTATTTAAAGCATACTATATTACCACTTAGGAGAAATGCTGCAAACTTGAACTAAGATGAGAGAAAATTTGAAATAAAGTTCCTTAATTCTAGATAGCTGTTTTGTGTATGCATATGTTTAATAGCATTATAAAATATCACTTCTAAGTCACCATTATATGTGCAGACAGCATGTTCTTCGGGCACAAACTTATGTTTCATATGTATCAAGTCACTTAGCACTGCTGGCAAGTGTTGCCAGCCTGAAACATAAAACAGAGAGGATAATAAAACCTTAACAAGCAGCAATAAAGCTAATGAAATATAATCTCAAATATACTACTCTAATTCATCCCGAGAGGAAACACAATCACCCAATCCTAAGGATGAGGAAATGGAGCCAGCTCCATAAAAACACATATTCATCATAGTAACATGGATCATTTTAGAATTAGAACTAAAAGAAAATTCAAGCTGGTTACAGTGGTGTAATTATCATGACCAAATAGGTGAGGATGACAGGATGAAGCAACAGTTCACATATGGTTATTTTGGCTCCATATTTAAAGCTATTGAAATGAAAATATTGATATTATTTTTAATGGGGATAACCTTTCATGCTGAGGATAGGGAAATTTCAAGATAGTCAGACTAAGCAGCATTTAAGAAGTGAGATATGACTTCCAAGACCAGTACGTAAGTGGGTCACAAGTTTATTTACATACAGTTTGCGTGTGCCCATAATAACCATGCAATCTATTCCCAAATAACTTCAGATTGATGTTTATTACTGTATCCCTTGAGGCTGTAATTTGATAATAGTGCATTTCCTTCCGTATTTCCTATAATTCTCATCTGTCTTTGAGAAACTAGAATTCCAATTTAAGAAAAAGGGAGCAGAGAGGAGAGAGAAAAGGAAATGAAAGGATGAATGAGGCAGAGAAAGGAGATAAGAGGAAGGGTACAATTTTCTGTGAGTCCTTTCTCTGTAGCTTTTACTTTTTGCACACACAAGTGATTTAAGGGAACAATCTAAACAATAGAGAACAGACTAATCCAAATATAAAATTAGAATAGACAAGATTTCCTTATTTTAATAGACAACCTCTGTGATTCTGCATACGGTATAGTTTATGCATACAAGTAAGTTAGTAAAGGGAAACAGATAGTCCATTCTCAGAAGCATCCACAGGACAACTAGGAGTTCTGTGCTTAGTTTTCAATTGCCAGATGATTTTTTTTTAACTACAGGAATTTGTATCAATAACTGATTTTCCCAAAAAGGCTCAGGAAACACGTAATGTCAAGTAGGGTCAAACAATGAAGACAGGATATGCAACTCGGCTTGGTTATGTTTAAGATAAGCAAAAGTAATGTAGAAGAGCAAGATGGTGTACTTAGATTATATAGACATTTGGAATTTCTATTATTCAAAGGGCAACCTCAAAAAACTGGTAGAAATATTTTCTCAATACAATGAATTCTTGGATAGTATGAATACCTGTCACAGGCAGAACTAACTGAAGCATTTTTGAAAACTTGAACAAGCTGCTTGAAAACACAACAATAAAAAGAAATAAGGTGTCATGAAAAATGTACAAATAATAAGAATAAATGTTTTCTGTCCTTACATTTCATGAGTACAAAATGTACAAATAATAAGAATAAATGTTTTCTGTCCCTACATTTCATGAGTACAATATAGATTATGTACTATGAAAAATGAAAATGTACAAATAATAAGAATATTATTTAAAAAATATGAAAATGTACAAATAATAAGAATAAATGTTTTCTGTCCCTACATTTCATGAGTACAATATAGATTACAAGATTTAACTCTTTTATAAATAATCAAATATATTTTATTTGCTTTCTGTTGCCTCATTTCTCTTTTAAAATATGCGTACTTCTATCTATTGATTTTATTTCACTTTGGTTGATAGGAGTTCAACCACTGACCTGTAAACTGTCCCCTTCTAAAAGATAATGCCCATGATTTTCCACTTGTCTTGAAATTTTAATATCTAGGTTACATTTTTCATCATTAAAATAGTTATTTAGTTTATTAGTAACCTTTGAAGGATGTCTTGAGCATTAATAGTAGAGTGGAAAAACACTAGAAATTATTATTTTTGCAAGAGCTATAGAAGTTAGTGAGGGGTTAATGCTACTTTATGCCTAAAGATTATAATATATGCCTGGCCATTCTTTCAATTAAAATAAAATCAAAGCAATGTCTTTAACATATATCTGTTTTCACTGAATAGTAACAATTCTATCAGTCTGTGGTGAAAGGGAAAATCTCAATATTAAGGACATAAATTGACAATATTTGCAATACGAAAGATATTCCGTGGAATAGGGACACATTTGTGGGGTTTATATTTATTTATTTATTTATTTATTTATTTATTTATTTATTTATTTATTTTTCGAGACGGAGTCTTGCTCTGTCACCCAGGCTGGAGTGCAGTGGTAGGATCTGGGCTCACTGCAACCTCCGCCACAGGCTCCCAAGTAGCTCGGATGCTACAAGCACCCCATACTCCGCGCTGATTTTTGTATTTTAAGTAGAGACGGGGTTTCACCATGTTGGCCAGGACGATTTCGAACTCCTGGCCCCATGATCCTCCCGCTTCGGCCTCCCAGAGTGCTGGGATTACAGGCACGAGCCAACGGGCACGGCCACATTCGTGTTTTAAGAGGATACTTTGGGTCATTGCGCAGTCTGAAGAGTCATTTTACTTTGCTTTCATTTATAAGACATTCATGTACTGCCATCGTGTGGTCAATCCAGCACACATCAGCTTATTTGAAATGGTATGAAAAGTCAAGAAAAAAAAAAAAGACTGTGCTATTTGTTTTGGTTCATGCTGATAGCCTTTATCTTGCCAAAAAGAGCTTAGCAAAAGAGTTAGCTGGAATATACCATAGATGTAAACCCAAGCACTTTTATTTACCAGAGGACCCAGGCGGTGTGTGTTTGAAGTCAGAACCAAGTCAATCTAGCTGATAAAACCACAGGGAGCAAATAATATTTATTATTTCCTGTTTAATATTCTGGATATTTCATATAGAAGATCTATCAAAAGTCCAAAGTTGTGTTATTTATATAACTTTTTCCAAAATCACAAGTTACAGTTAAAATGATATTTTATAACTGTAGTGCCTTTTTAATGCAACTAAAAAAAGCTGTGTGCATAAATAGACAAATACAAGTGCAGATACAGGGGAAGTCAAAGTGATTTAAATTGAAAATGTTAAAGACACAGCACAAGATCATACTTTTGTCATTTAGATAATTTCATCTGTTTTCAAGAGTACAAGATCAAATGAGGTCCAACTCCCTTCTACTTAATTTTAGTATCATCTCTAATACTGAGGGTGGGTGTAATCATTCAAATCGTAATCATGATGAAATTGTTTAATGGAATCATATCTTATAAATTAAAATCTTTCTTCCAGTCAGAACACGAAAATCAAAAGCAAAATTTGATAAAAGAGTGATTCTGGATTTAAATACAAAAGGTCTTATATTGTAAAGCCCTTAAATTGTTTTCTAGAAATAAAACCTTTCCAACATTTAAATATAGCAAAAACTACAGGGAAGCATAATTCTATTAATGACTTCTTTCACCTTAGAAAGTATCAGATGAGCTGATGAATTTTCTGCCTTCAACTGATAGTTTTAGAGAGAGAAGTATCATTTCAACTCCCATATCTTTACGTATTGTTTCAAGAAATGCCAAATGCCTTTCAAAATATTATCTCAGAATGTAAGATTTAAATACACCAACAAGTTTTAAGAGACAAAATCCTAATTTACTTTCCTTCTTTCCCTTTTTTATTGAACACTCACCACAAATTTCTTATTAGATGAAACATAAAAAGTTATCAACAAATATAAAATCAGCCTAAACATAACTATCAGTCTAAATTTTGGTCTTAAACTATCACTAATTTTATAACTTTCTTCCATTTAATACAGTCACTTCCTGCATGTTCATGAGTTTATAATGGTCATATAAAATAACTTTTCTCTCATGACCTTTAGTAGGAAAGAAAGATATTTGTATATGAGAGAAAAAGAAATGAACTAATAAGTAAATATTTTAATGAAGAAAGAAAAAATGTATTGAGTAGAGATGAAGATTATCCAATCTAAAGATTAGACATGCACTGTTCTTTTGGTTATGAGATTCTATTATGGAAAACAAAACAAACTGAGTAAATAGATATATTAAAACAGGTAGAAGTCTAGCCAAATTTTGACACTCTTGAAAGACTTAATAATGAAAAGAGATAGGTCCACAATTAAGACCAGTCTACACATTATTTAATTGCCTGCCAATCCCAGAAAAATTGAATTTAGTCACCATTATTAGATGTGGTTCAACAAGAGTGTCTTGGAAGCTGCTTATGATAGGGCTACAAATGAAAGTGTCCTAAATTTTTAACCCTCATGAAGAGATGAGGGACAACCAGAAGATCTAGCTATGGGCAACATCGAGGAAGGAGCACTGGCCAGCTTCATAAATACAAGTCTGTGTTCTAGGGAGAAGGAAGAATGGAAGCAATCTTACTCAATATTCTTTTGACTGAAAGTACAGAAACTCATTTGAGATAGTTTATGCAAAAAAAGGGTATGTATTCTGTAGATATAAGTGTATAGTGCTACTCAAAGTGATTTAGTGTTCGCCTTGGCAGTACATATACTAAAATTAGAATGATACAGAGATTAGCGTGGCCCCTGTGCAAGGATGACACGTTCTAAAAATTTATTAAAATAAAAAAAAAGATTTAAAGAGCATGATGGAATTTGGTATAGAAATTGAGAAGAAGCATTTAGAAAGTTGTGAGCAATTTGAGAAAGCAGTTTTTTGCCTGCTGATTCTTTAATAAAAAGGCATAGTCGCTGTGTGATTCCTATGGCGACTGTAACACATTACCAAAAACTTCGCGGCATAAAAAAAATTTATTCTGCCACAGTTCCGGATGCCACTCCAGCCATCCTCTTTGAAGAAGGGCCTTGAGCTAAATGAAGCATCTTTGCCCCCATAAGCAGAGAAGAGGAAATGCTTGGAATTTGCAACCACCATGCCTCCCAAGATGGTCACAAGCTAATGACTCATTGGTGTGGGAGTATGAAAGCCCAGTTCCCTTGCCTTAAGTCAGGACAAACAGTGCCTTGTAACTTACATTCCAAAATTCCCTGCTGAATCAGACTGGCATCACCCCTGCTTGAAGTGGTACCCTGGCTTCTTACCTTCCCTCCCCTCCTTCCCTCATTCCCTTGCCAATTTAACCTGGAACACTTCTTTAATAAATTATTTGCATATGAATTCCTAGCCTAATATTTCCTTATTTTGAAGAAATTTACCTAACACAAAGAGTATCTTTCTTTTTTTTTTTTTTTTTATTTTTTTTATTTTTTCGAGGCGGATTCTCGTTCTCTCTCCCAGGCTGGAGTGCAGGGGCGCGATCTCGCTCACTGCAAGCTCTGTCTCCTGGGTTCACGCCATTCTCCTGCCTCAGCCTCCCGAGTAGCTGGGACTACAGGCGCCCGCCACCACGCCTGGCTATTTTTTTGTATTTTTAGTAGAGACGGGGTTTCACCGTGTTAGCCAGGATGGTCTCGATCTCCTGACCTCGTGATCCACCCGCCTTGGCCTCCCAAAATGCTGGGATTACAGGCGTGAGCCACCACGCCCGGCCGAGAGTTATCTTTCAGATGCCTTGTTTATCGTTTCCTTAGATTGGGGAACCCAACCTAAGACAATGACTATGTGATACAAACAAAGAGCAATATGAGCAGCCAATCCCCCTTGAAGAACTGGAACCAAATCATCTCACTCTCTCTCCAGGCCACTGGAGCCTCATGGCTGCTCTGTTTCTTCCTTCACGTCTGTTTTATTTTTGTGTCTGCACACACATCTCTGCTTTATGGCACTTAACCATAGCTCTCAATCTAACTCTTCTGTTTCAATTCATGATTTCCTTTCATTTAATATAGTAACTTTTCACAGCCTTTTTAAGAATTTGAAAATAAATTTTCGTGTAAAAGAAATGTATTTCAATAAACTTTAATAGAAAAGAAAGATTACTCCATAACTCTAAAGATTACAAAACTCTTTATAGTGATAAGCCAGATTATTTCTAGTCCCATTTGTGTGGAATAAAAGTAAATATGGTTGACTCATTTTATTGATAGAAAGTGTAATGATACTGATAAAAATTAGTAGAATTATACAGTATACAAATGACTGCCAAGTCCCACGACTCTTGGAAGTTTCCTTCTCCTTTAAAAGAAAAGGTGCATGGTTTGGCTCAAGGTATGGCACTCGGTATTGTACATAGCTACCCAAGTTCAGGCTACAGGGAATATCTGCAAAGAGAGCCTTTATTGGACCTTGGAGAAAAAAGTGAGAAAAACCCTAGCTGACACAGAGGGATTTCCTGAGCAAGAGTGTATTTGTCTTTGAGAACAGAAAGAGTTTAAACTGAAAGTGACATTTTAAAAAGTGATTAACAATTACACCATTTATTGAGGAGTACAATTTTAACTTGGCCATTGGGAGTTTTATTGGTTAAAATAATTTAAGATAACGTTTTTAATATTATGATTAAATATAATATTATTACTATTTAAAAGGTAACTTTTTTACAGAGTACCTATTATATATCAAGCCCTGTATTTAAATCTCTACATGCCATAGCTCATTTACATGTCGCATTGATACTTTGATGTGGATATTATTCCTATTTTAAATATTCCAAAGCTGAAACTTAAAGAATAATAGCTCACTCACAGCTAATCATCTGGAAGGGGAACCTAGATCTCTGTCACCAGAGCCCAGGTCATTTCCACACTGCTATACCATCTTAAGCTGTCTTCTGTGTTAGCTCTTTCTCTCAGTGTGTCAATGAACAATTCTGTTTCTAAGCCAGTGCTCATTCTACTGCATCAGCTGCTTCAGCTTTACTTCTTTCTCTCTGAGAAGTTCCTCCCCATCAAGCCCATGGTGCTAATGAAAGGGATTCATGAAGAGTGAAGGACATATCACATGTACACATTGACCCATGTCATGCCCTGTCTAGTTTCTCAGAATGTGCACACATGTCCTCTGCAGGAAGTTATGAACCTTCACCTGGATCCATGTGATAAATTTCAAACAAGCTTAAGCGTTCTTGTCTCTACAATGAATTAAATGCAATTAGGCAACACACAGCAGAATATACCAAATGACCTGTCACTCCATTGTGATTATTTTATTTAAAAATAATCCTACCTGGTTATAACTTAAGCCACAGATATAAAGTGGAGAAGAGTTCTTGATTGTCCTTGAGAAAAATCAGAAATGAAAATGACTCTGTCTCATTGAAGCTTTGAATCAGAGATTACAACTTAAGAATAAACAGTCGAAAAATTACTACATTATGGAAAACCACAAAAATACACATTTTAAACTGTTAAGATGAATTAAGACATCATATAGATTAGTGAAAATAATATAAAATTTAATTATGATCCATATCACAAAGTTATTATTCCTACTTTAATTGGTGAATTTGGACCACATACACAAATTCCCAAACACCATGCATCTGTCACTGACTTCACGTTCATGACTGTGTTCCCTAATTAAAGTCTGTTTCAGTTCAGTATGCCAGAATTCGATGTTTTTGTTTTTTTTATTATTATTATTATTATTATTATTATTATTATTATAGTTTAAGTTCCAGGGTACATGTGCACAACATGCGGGTTTGTTACGTAGGTATACACGTGCCATGTTGGTTTGCTGCGCCCATTAACTCGTCATTTGCGTTAGGTATTTCTCCTAATACTATCCCTCCCCCAGCTCCCCACCCCAGGACAGGTGCCGGTGTGTGATATTTCCTGCCCTGTCCAAGTGTTCTCATTGTTCAATTTCCACCTATGAGTGAGAACATGCGGTGTTTGGTTTTCTGTCCTTGTGATAGTTTGCTGAGAATGATGGTTTCCAGCTTCATCCATGTCCCTACAAAGGACATGAACTCATCCTTTTTTATGGCTTCATAGTATTCTATGGTGTATATATGCCACATTTTCTTAATCCAGTCTATTACTGATGGACATTTGGGTTGGTTCCAAGTCTTTGCTATTGCGAATAGTGCTGCAATAAACATACGTGTGCACGTGTCTTTGTAGTAGCATGATTTATAATCTTTTGGTATATACCCAGTAATGGGATCCCTCTGTCAAATGGTATTTCTGGTTCTAGATCCTTAAGGAATCGCTACACTGTCTTCCACAATGGTTGAACTCATTTACATTCCCACCAACAGTGTGAAAGTGTTCCTATTTCTCCACGTCCTCTCCAGCATCTGTTGTTTCCTGACTTTTTAATGATCGCCATTTTAACTGGTGTGAGATGGTATCTCATTGTGGTTTTGATTTGCATTTCTCTGATGGCCAGAGATGATGATGAGAATTTTATCATGTGTCTGTTGGCTGCCTAAATGTCTTTTTTTTGAGAAGTGTTTTTTCATATCCTTTGCCCATTTTTTGATGGGCTTGTTTTTTTCTTGTAAATTTGTTTGAGTTCATTGTAGATTCTGGATATTAGCCCTTTGTCAGATGGGTAGATTGCAAAAATTTTCTCCCATTTTGTAGGTTACCTGCTCACCCTGATGGTAGTTTCATTTGCTGTGCAGAAGCTCTTTAGTTTAATTAGATCTCATTCGTCAATTTTGGCTTTTGTTGTCATTGCTTTTGGTGTTTTAGTCATGAAGTCTTTGCCCAGGCCTATGTCCTGAATGGTATCACCTAGGTTTTCTTCTAGGGTTTTTAGAGTTTTAGGTCTAACATTTAAGTCTTTAAGCCACCTTGAATTAATTTTCGTGTAAGGTGTAAGGAAGGGATCCAGTTTCAGCTTTCTACATATGGCTAGCCAGTTTTCCCAGCACCATTTATTAAATAGGGAATCCTTTACCCATTTCTTGTTTTTGTCAGGTTTGTCAAAGATCAGATGGTTGTATATGTGTGGTGTTATTTCTGAGGTCTCTGTTCTGTTCCATTGGTCTACATCTCTGTTTTGGTACCAGTACCATGCTATTTTGGTTACTGTAGCCTTGTAATATAGTTTGAAGTCAAGTAGTGTGATGCTTCCAGCTTTGTTCTTTTTGCTTAGGATTGTCTTGGCAATGTGGGCTCCTCTGTGATTCGATATGAACTTCAAAGTAGTTTTTTCTAATTCTGTGAAGAAAGTCATTGGTAGCTTGATGGGGATGGCGTTGAATCTATAAATTACCTTGGACAGTATGGCCATTTTCATGATATTGATTCTCCCTATTCATGAACATGAAATGTTCTTCCATTTGTTTGTGTCCTCTTTTATTTCATTGAGTGGTGGTTTGTAGTTCTCCTTGAAGAGGTCCTTCACATCCCTTGTAAGTTAGATTCCTAGGTATTTTATTCTCTTTGAAGCAATTGTGAATGGGAGTTCACTCATGATTTGACTCTCTGTTTGTCTGTTATTGGTGTATAGGAATGCTTGTGATTTTGGCACATTGATTTTGTATCCTGAGACTTTGCTGAAGTTGCTTATCAGCTTAAAGAGATTTTGGGCTAAAATGATGGGGTTTTCTAAATATATAGTCATGTCATCTGCAAACAGGAAGAATTTGACTTCCTCTTTTCCTAATTGAATACCCTTTATTTCTTTATCTCGCCTGATTTCCCTGGCCAGAACTTCCAACACTATGTTGAATAGGAGTTGTAAGAGAGGGCATCCTTGCCTTGTGCCAGTTTTCAAAGGGAATGCTTCCAGTTTTTGCCCATTCGGTATGATATTGGCTGTGGGTTTCTCATAAATGACTGCTATTATTTTGAGATACGTTCCATCAATATCTAGTTTATTGAGAGTTTTTAGCATGAAGGGCTGTTGAATTTTGCTGAAGGCCTTTTCTGCATCTATTGAGATAATCATGTGGTTTTTGTCTTTGGTTCTGTTTATGTGATGGATTACTTTTATTGATGTGCATATGTTGAACCAGCCTTGAATCCCAAGGATGAAGCTGACATGATCATGGTGGATAAGCTTTTTGCTG